>NC_000004.12:118163805-118315320 GCF_000001405.40 Homo sapiens | reverse complement strand
ACTCCATAATTTTTTATCCTTATGCTATCATTATAATTTGGGTAGATAACTTCATATCAGCTCTAGTAATGGACATGTAATTTTTATCCACATTTTTAACCTTATATTGCTACATACTCACAATTTTTAATGAAAACAATATCCACAGAATTTTCATACTGTAATTTACTTAATATTAGGTCAGCTTAATTTTTCCTGTGATAAGTAATGCTATCATGAAAACACAATATTCATATAATTTCCCCCATTTTGTCTTTTCTTGGGCAGAGAAGTTACTGTAATTTTTGTGTAAAAGGGTATGATATGACAGCCAAATAAATACAATATGCTGACAATTGATAAGAATTAGTTAATAAATATCACTTTATATTTAAGTGAATCTCAGACTGCCAACTATACTCTGTTTTCACAGATTTAGAGAGATTCATAAAATCATGTCATTTCTATTTATTTTCACATTTAGAGAGATTCATAAATCCTGTTATTTCTATTTTTCATATTTTTTTATTAATGAAAACAACACTGATTTTTTTCTTCATATTTTATTTTGTTTCACAAATCTATGCACAGAGTATTCACATTTATTTTAAAAATGTTCTCAATAATGTGTGTAAAAAGCTCTAAATGATTGTGTTAGAAGGTAGTCAAAGCATGTGTTACATTTGCTTCTAGTTTACAAAGGAATTTTTGAAAAAGAATATTCTTTTGTAATGAGAAAAAGTAAACTTTGGGTTTTTTTGTACAAATGCAATTCCAAAGTAAAATGACTTCCTGTTATCTGTTGTGTAGTTGCTATGGACAGATGATAATCTAATGTATTTCGTGAAAAAATGGTCTATAAGTTAAAAGTGAGCAATATACGATTTAGGCTTATTACTTTTCTAGCCAAGGGTTGATTAGTCAGCAAAATAGAAGGAAGAGAAGCCATAGAATGATTAAAATTTTCATTGTTTTAATTTATTAAAATATTCATTTTGTCAAATAAATTTAATAAATACTTGCATAAAAAAAGAAGAAAATTCATGTCAGATAGAAAGATCTCTTCATATTCTTAGTACAGAAATAATAAAAACATCAAGTAAGGGAATTATTATATGAGTAAGAGTTGAATCTTGTAGGCTGTTAGAACTGAAAGGTGTCTTAAAGATTTTTAAGCTCCGTGATTTCTGGAGGTTTGGATTTTATGGAACAAAAGGAAATAAAATTGGGAGGATGAAAGAAGGTGCAGATTGACTTAATTTCTAATTTAAAAAATTTTTCAGATCTCTCCTATTTCTGCAGCATATATATTTATTATACGTTTAGGTTTTGTTTCTGTAGTGCAGTGTTACAAATACACTCAATTGGAACACAAATATAATTGATAAACATTTTAAAGTTGAATTTGTATACCTTATGAAAAGCTAAGAATATTATAATTCTGATTTTGATGGGCTGAAATCTAAATTTAATCATGGATTAGGTATAGTGCTTGAGCAATCACTGAACTAATCCACACTTTTTATTTTGAAAGAAGACCAAAGAGAAGCTGCTGAAATCAAATGAGTTCAGAGGGAGCATCAGAAGCAAAATGAGAAAAGTGTTCTCACTTTCTGGTCACAATTTCTATGGTCAGGAATTTGAGATTGATCTCTTTGCATTCTCTCTGATTGGTTTTGTAGACAAAACACAAGAATGAATGGGGAAAAAGTATTAATTTTTCATTTGTTATTCGTTGAAATAATCGAACATTTTTAAGGTGATTAAAACATGTGATGGGCTGGGCGAACATAGCTCTAAACTGCGTCCCCAAGGTAGGAGAAAGAACAGATACTTATCCTCTGAAGTCATGTCACTGAACTAAGTTGCTTGTGTTAAATGTTTTGTGGTTCCCTGAACCAAGAGACAGAAGTTCTATACACAGTGTTTATTCAATTGTCACAGATATGGTAAACAAGCATCTGCCAACCATTTTGAAGAAAGCACAGGGCCCATATGGTTGGATGACGTCAGCTGCTCAGGAAAGGAAACCAGATTTCTTCAGTGTTCCAGGCGACAGTGGGGAAGGCATGACTGCAGCCACCGCGAAGATGTTAGCATTGCCTGCTACCCTGGCGGCGAGGGACACAGGCTCTCTCTGGGTGAGGACTGGCTGCAGCTCTCAAGTTTCCATCATTCAGTAGCCATTGCACCTCTAACCACTGGCCTTGAATATGAAGTGTTTCTCATCTTTGGCTTTTTTTGGGGTCTATTTCCCATAACTGTCTAATTTTCAGTAATTTTTATGCAGAGAAAAATAATCTTTTGAGTCTGTGCGCCAACATTATGAAATTTCTACCCCTAAATTGTTTTTCTTTACTTAGAAAATTAAGTTCCTCACTAACAATGTTTACAATCATCTGTATCTGAAAAATGGAATAAAGAAGCTGCAGTATCTATTCCCCTTACTCCTCGGTCACTTATTCTGATTTTCATTTACCTTGAATTCTAGTGAGCTATTTGGGATAGGATTTAAAATAAGAATATTCTCCTCTCCCTGTCTCATGGTTCATTTCTTCTCTAGTCCTGAAGCCTTGTCGTTCGTTGGTCACCAACCATCCATTGCTCTTTTAAGTGTCTCAGTGGTCTTCTAAGTGGATTAATTAAAGTTAATAGCTCACCCATCTTTCTAGTGTAACTTGTTATTTTAGAAACCCATCAGGGACCTCTGTTACTCTTCATTTACATTTTTTTAGACTTTTTGGATAAAAGGTAACTAGCTCCTCTAACTGTATTGAAATAATTATAGATAAAGATCCTCTTGAGAGTAGATAGCAGTTAAACATTCTTGATAAATTTCTTAATGTCTGATGAGGAGGGCAGAATATATATGAATGAAAAATACAGAGGGAAATATTCAAAATACTTTGTTGTATGCTATCACAGCTTTATTATATATCTATCTGTGTGTATGTGTATGTGTGTGCGTGTGTGTGTGTGTGTATGTGTATGAATAGATGTTAAAATAGCCTTAGGTGGTCTTTACTTTTAACCTTGGATTGAATCAACTCCTTTGTATTCTCCTGTTTGGAGACTGTGAAGCTGAAATCTTCATGTTATAAAGTAACAACTTTTTGAACCTCAGAGTATTAACCATATTACATACTTTAAATTTGTCAGAGTCTGTGGCTGATTCCTCATTGTACTGTACACTGTGAGAGCTTGGTGACACTGCATTAATCTAGCATTATACCAAGTTGAAATACATGTTTTTATTCCATCTCTTGCAGGCCATATTTCCATTTTTCTTTCTTTTCATTTTGTTCTCCTTTTCCCTTGCCCCTTCTTTTGAAAGATTTGTGATCCTCCCAGGATTATGTGGTGGATGTGGTTGAGGGAGATAGAATTTGTTTGCTGGAGATGGATTCTCTCAGCCCCAGATAGCAGGTGTTGGAATCATGGGATGATCTACGCAGATATGCTCTGTGAGCTCCCAGTGATGAAATACTATGTGACCTGAGTTCTCTGTAGGCCTGTGTTGTTAAACACATCATATGGTTGGAATAACTAATCTTTTCTGTTCCCTTGAAAATCTTTTTAATTCTAGGACTCTAGATGTATTTTTAAAAAATTTAAAAACCTGAGGGTGATAATTATTAATAAAATATATGATCACTATTATGAATCTCTTTGGTTCTAATCTCAGTAATGTGTCTATTAACTAAAGTCATTTGTCTGAAGAACATTATATCTGAGCCAAATATCCTTTTGGGATAGAATCATATTACTATTTGTTCATTCATAGATCATTACTTCCACCTATTAAAAACTACTATATATTTAAAAGGGAAGCTTAGAGGAGGAGATAACAGGATAACAATATAAATAACAGCATTTAGGAAACAATGGAGATTTTTTACTTCTTTGGCACTGCAATGATGAGCTCTTGGACTACTGCTGTTTTCAGCTATTTGAAGGCTAATTTCTGGACCTTAACTTTATATGTCAAGGGAAACTTCTCAAAATTAGTTATAGCCCTGTAGACACTCTTTTGGGTCTGTGGTAGGTGAAATGCTCAAAAGCAGTATTCTAGATTAGTAAAAGTAATTCTAGTAAGAATACAGTTATGTGAGTTGGCAGAAATTTCTGGGATGGTAAAAATATGGATTTCTCGTTTTAATATTACATTAATTCTAAAGTTCAGAGTATTAAGTCCTGGCAAAGATTTCTTTCCCAGTGAGGTTGTTGCCTCTTACTCAATTTTACAGTATAAAATTAGGCTTAATTTAATTAATTAATTAATTAATTAATTGAGACAGAGTCTCACTCTGTCACCCAGGCTGGAGTGCAGTGGCGCAATCTCGGCTCACTGCAACCTCCACCTCCCGGATTCAAGCAATTCTCCTGCCTCAGCCTCCCAAGTATCTGGGATTACAGGTGCCTGCCACCACACCCAGCTAATATTTGTATTTTTAGTACAGATGGAGTTTTGCCATGTTGGCCAGGCTGGCCCCAAACTCCTGACCTCAGGTGATCTGCCTGCCTTGGCCTCCCAAAGTGCTGGGATTACAGGTGTGAGCCACTGAGCCTGGCCTAAAATTAGGCTTTTGCTGTGTATGTATGCATGTTAGAATTTATCTTTTTTCTAAAAGACAGTAGTATTTTATAAAAATAATGTATTATGTTACAGGAAAAATCAAAGAAAACTACTGAAAGCTTGAGATATATATTAAAGATAACTGTATACCAATATGATTGTTTAGCTTTTCCAAAAACTTTATATATTTAAGATTTTGGAAATAAAACATGCTATGTATTATTATTTCTGTAACAACACAAACTTAATAGTGACAACGTATGGATGGCATGACTTTTGTCATCCAGTTTCCCTTCAAGAATTAGGAATTTAATGATTTTGTAGAATGAATGGCTAAAATTAGGTTCAGAAATATTGTATGCATTATTTTTACAAAGCCATGCAAGTTATACTTTAAAAACACTTTATCATTTTTATTTTCAGAGTATATGAAAATGTGCCTGTAAAACTACCAGAATGGAACATGTAGATCTAATTTCATGTGCAAATGTTTTCTTAATTTTGAACCAAATATCCAAAAATATAAAAAGTGAAAACTTTAATAAAAGAATTTCATTTGTTTGATTTTGGTATCTGAGGATCACTTTTTCACTTTCTGTTCTTGCAAAGAACTCCCAAATTTCAGATGTATTAATGAGAAATATGAAGTTTCAATATTGTGTTTTATGACACAGCTAAAACTCCAAGTTTTTATCCAGCTGATAGTAAGCAGTGCATACATAGAGTTGGCACGCCATAAACATTTGTTGAGTTTGATTTTGCTCTGTGATTCCGCTATACTGCCTTGTCCCATGAAGTGAACATGATTAGGGATAGAGACTGGGGAGCCAACAACTCTTGGGGCAACACAGAAGGATGGAGAAGTAAAAAATGGGTCAGAAGAATAAAAATAGAGTGTGTCCATCTTGCTAACAATATTTTCTTTTAGTTAACCAATGTTGATTTAGTAACTTCACATATTGGTTTAAACATATATTAAATAATATATTGTCCATTACCTGCAGACTTCTACCTCCCTAGTTCTGCTAATAAGTTTACCATGCTTTATTGTATTCCCTAAATCCTTAACAGCAAATCTTGGCCCTGAAGCTGGAGACCCTTCTAGTAACTAGGTAATCAGATGTGTGAGTGTTAGCTTGCTTGGGTTGCTATAACAAAGTTCCACAGAGGTGACTTAAACACAGATGTTTATTGTTTCACAGTTTTGGGGGTTGGAGTCCACAATCAAATGTCAGTAGGGTTGGTTCCTTCAGAAAGAACTGTGAGGGAAGGGCTGTGTGAGAGAGAGAGATGCTCCAGGCCTCTCTCCTTAGCTTGTATATGGCAGTCCTCTCCCTGTGTCTCTTCACATCATCCTCTTCATGTCTAAATTTCTCAATTTTATGGGAATACCAACGTATTTGATTAGGGCTCACCCTAATGACCTCACAATTCAACCCATGCAAGTCACAGTGAGGAGTTTCGATTCAAAATCATAATTATTGGTGTGGTGATATGTGACACTTTACAAATCCCTTCATTTGTATTAACTTAGATAAATCTTAATTTGCTAGAGTTCAGTTTCTCAACTTTTAACTCAGTAATTTTTGTGACTTAATTCTTTCCCTTAAAATCAATAGAAAGCCTTAGATGGTAACTGTCCCTATTTACTGCTTTTTTTTTTCTTTTTCTTTTCTTTTTTTTGCCTCCTCCAGCATTAGACTTGAATCAAGTTACCCAACTATGAATGCCAAGATTGTGTCTATTTATATCGTTCTAAAAATCTTGTCTTTGGTGTATAAACTTCTAGCTCTCTGTTCATGGATAAATGAACAGACATGAAGCAGAAACAACCTCAAGTTAATGTTCTTTTACTATTTAGAAGTAAGGTGTAATAAAATAATTCACAGTTTTATAATGCTGTTCATTCATTCAACAAACAGCAATTGCATATCCTCTGTATGCCAGGCACTGTTCCACAGTCTGGGGATACAAGGTTGAGCAAGGTGAGCACTTTGAATTCAAGGCTGCAAGAGACATACAAAAGTGGATAAAATTTTTATTGATATATCTCCTCTCTCTCAAAAAAGTATTTCCCATCTGATTTTATAGCTGATTAAAAAGAACAATTGTGTTTTGTAGAGTCGCTCATGCTTTAGAATCAGTTTGCATGTTTGGGCTGTTCTAATACTTTTGAATCATGACTTAGGTTTTCCTGTCAGACTGATGGATGGAGAAAATAAGAAAGAAGGACGAGTGGAGGTTTTTATCAATGGCCAGTGGGGAACAATCTGTGATGATGGATGGACTGATAAGGATGCAGCTGTGATCTGTCGTCAGCTTGGCTACAAGTAAGGAAAACCTAATTATTTGGGATGGTTACTGATGAGCATATCTGAATTTTTAAATGCTTAATCTAATGAGTTACTTTTTACTTAAAATGAGCTTCTGTCATTCATTTGAAAATACTGGCAGCATATTGATTTGATCCAGAATTATAAAGAAGTAATAAGTAGAGCCTATTCACATTTTTCTACTCACAGAAAATATTATGTCACACAAGAAATGTAGCTTTTTATCTAATAACAAAATAGTCTAATAACTCTGACTAGTCATAATACAGCTTGTATCAGCTTCTGTCAGTTAACCTTTTCTCTGTGATTGATGTTTCAACACTGTAGCCTTTTAAGGGACTCTAGAGTTATTGAAATTACTGTTGGTTCTCATTTTTCTTGATAGTTATAAAGTCACTGTGGACACTGAATTAGCAAATGCTGAGCCATTGCTCCTAGAGCTGAGGTCACTGCTCTCCCTTCTTGTTTCAGCTTTCATACTTGTTAACAGTTGTCCTCTTTTACAGTCTGTGTGGTGCCAATTTTTTTTTTTTTGCATTTCTGTGCTTGCTTTGCTGATGACTTCACTGTTTAAAATGGCCCCCATTTATAGTACCGAAGTGCTGTGTAGTGTTCCTAAGTGCAGAAAGGTTGTGGTGTGACTTAGAGAGAAAATGCATGCATTAGATAAGCTTCCCTCAGGCGTGAGTTACAATAAGAACATGGCACTAAATAGAATGTGAAAAGGACACTTGTTTACAGTGTGAGAGGAGCAAAAAAGAAGGCAGATCATCTCCTGTTGGTTAGACCTCAGCTGGGTAATTTAAAATTTTACTGGCTCTGCATATGTCATGAATGACTGTGAAAGCACCCTAAGTAATGATTTTGAAGTAACAAAAATATGGAAAATGTTACAATTCAGAGGGTTATAAATTTAAGATAATATGTATATAAATTGCCTAGCTCAGAGTAGATTACTAATAGTAATTTGGATTTAAAAATATATCCTTAATTATATATCTGTGTTCATTTTAAATATTGAACACTTCATATGGTTATTTTCTATAAAGAATACATGTTTATTTTAAAAAGCATTTCTGTTTTAATAAAAGTTCACATGTTGGGGGTAAACTTCAAAATCAAAGTTGTTTCTGGTTACTCGATACTACTTCAATTTATGGCTCAGTTTTGGACCCAGTTGCAATTCCAGTTGTCCTACAGCCAATTAATCCTTCATTTGTGATATAAATTTTCAATTTTCAAAATATGGGGCAGTAAAGTAGGGAGAGTCTACATTAGATGTGAAAGTGAATTTGGTCAGTGGTTAATTTTAAACTTCTTTTGCTCACTGTGTTTCTATCACTCCTTTTTCCATTTGAAAAAAAAATTATTCTTGTTCTTGCATTACATTCCCAGTACATTTCCTCACCCAAAATCAGCCATTAAAAGATATTGCTCTTTGAGACTGGTTTCTTGGCCATATTTTAATTTTATTGTCTTGGTGGAAGTGATCCAGGAAACCTAGTATTACCTTTGGAAATACAAAGGGGAAGATTGGCACCAAAGTTGACCTTCAAATTGTGTGTCTCAGCTAAGTTTAAGGAGAGAAAAATTTTCTAGGCATATTCATCAAGCATCATCAACACACATGTAGTCGTGTGTTATTACTTGGATTTCTTTCTAAATTGTTCATTACTTTTTATTTATCATCATTGATATAGTTTGGATATTTGTCCCCACCCAAATCTCATGTTGAGATGTAATCCATAATATTGGAGGTGGGATCTGGTAGGAGGTGTTTGGATCATGGGGGCAGATCCCTCATGAATGGCTTAGGCCATCCCTTGCTGATAAATGAGCTCATGCCCTGAGTTCACATGAGATCTGGTTGTTTAAAAGTGTGTGGCACCCTCCCACCCCGCTTTCTGCTGCTACTGTTGCTGTGTGACTTGCCTGTTCCCCCTTCACCTTCTGCCATGATTGAAAACTCCCTGGGCATCAGCAGAAGCCAAGCAGATGCCAGCCCCATGCTTCCTGTAAAGCCTGTAGAACTATGAGCCAATTAAACCTCTTTTCTTTATCAATTACCTAGTCACAGGTATTTCTTTATGGCAATGGAAGAATGGCCTAACACAATCATTTAGTCCATTTAACATTTAACTCAAAAGTGAATTTAGCCTCATGTTAGAATGGCTATGGTCAAAACAACAAAGGATAACAAGTGTTGGTGAGGATGTGGAGAAACTGAAACCCTTATGCACACTGTTGGTGGGAATGTAGAATGGTACAGCCACTGTGGAAAGTAATATGGAAACAGTATGGAAAACAGTTCCTCAAAAAGTTAAAAGTAGAACTACCATATGATCTAGATATCCCATTTCTGGGTATATGGCCAAAATAATTGAAATTAGGATGTCAAAGAAATATCTGCACTCCCATGTTCATTGCAGCATTATTTGCAATAGCCAAGATGTGGAAACAGCCTAAATGAATGGATGAAGAAAATGTGGTATGTATGTGTATATATATATACAGTTACTGAAAGACAAATACTACATGATTCCACTTATATGAGATATCGAAAATAGTCAAACTTATGGAAGCAGAAATAGAATGGTGGTTATCAGGGGTTGGGAGGAGAAGAAAATGGGAAATTATTTTTCAATGGGTATAAAGTTCCTGTCATGCAAGATGAATAAGTTCTAGAGATCTACCGTACAATACAGTACCTATAGTTAACAATATGGTACTATATACTTCAAAATATGTTGAGGGTATAGATCTTATTTGTGTTCTTACCAAAGCCAAATGAAAACAGAAACAGAACATAACAAAACAAACAAACAAACCTCAGAAAAGAACACAAGGAAATTTTTGGAGGTGATGGATATATTTAGCACCTTGGTTGTGGTAATGGTATCACAGATACATGCATATGTCCAAACTGAAGAAGATTTTTTATATTGATTATACCTAATTAAAGCTAAAAAAGAAGTGATTTTAGATGAGAAACACACTCTAGATTAAGTGAACAAAGTTTGTTGCAGCTTTCAATATTTCTGTAATACTTATCAATCAAGAAAAGCATCAAAAGACTTTATAATTGCATTTTAAATAGTCTTACAAGTAATTCAGTAATTTAATGTTACTATAACAAATTGGATAACATAATCTGCAATTTGCCATCAAATAGTATTTAAATGAGAATTGTTTAGCTATTTGATTAAATATACTTGAATATTTTTATAATTTCCCACTGAAGGGAAATTGGATTTCATATAAGAACATATATGTATATTTTCAGTATATATATATATGTGTGTGTGTGTGTGTATATATATATATATATATAAATTATAAACAGGTATGTGACTAGTGCCGAGGATCTTTTTTTCATCATGTCTATTTTGAATCACAAAAAATCTTTAATAAAGGACTTATTTGTAGAAATCAATCCAGGAAACTTTGAAGCTGTTATAAGATTTGAGCCTCATAAATAGGAATTTCAGAGATCTGTCCTCCAGCCAGTTCTATGATGCATGAGGATTAGTCCTTGGAAATACTGAGAATCAAAATGGTATTAGAAAGCCTTTTCATAATGGGAAAGACAGAAATGAGATAATAAAAAAGGAAATGTGAATGGTAACTAATACAGATATGCTTAAAGTGAACAGAAAGTAAAAGGCATTATTTATTGATGCATTACATAATGTCTGACAAAGTCTAGCATATGAGCATATTGTTCGTAGATTGTTGATAGAGAATGTGTTGAGATCAGTTAAATTCATTGAGATAGACTAAGTAGTCATGACGGAAATTCCATTATATTTACACTTTATGTGGATCCAGTAGCATATGTTCCAATATAGCATTGTTTTTGAACATGTTTGTTAGCGTATTAATCCTTAAAAAAATTTTAAAAATTGTATATTCTCACTGCTTTAATAGAGATCTAAAATTAAGTGTATCTGATATCTATTTTACATTTAAATAGCTGCAAAGGACTTAATTTCTGGTATATTTGTATGACATTTGAATATAAAACAGTTATACCACTCTTAATTATATCCAGTGAAATATAAATATAGTAATTTGATTCAGCTATCCATTTTAAAAAATACATGAACAAAAAATACTTCTTTGACCAGAAATTTTACAGTTTTTTTTTCTCCTTGAAGTTGTATTTTAAATTTTCTTCCCCCACGGAATCTCAATGTTATTATGCCTTAAAAATATGTGTGTATATGTATATATACACACACATATATGCACACATACACACATACATATACACATGTATGCATATATACAGATACACACACACACGTACATGGAGAGAGAGAAATTATGCTAACAAGTTTCAGGTGTCTCTGGAATTTATAATTTCTAGTATACAACTGATAATAAACAGCAAAATATTTAATAAAATTATTAAATAATTATTAAACATAGAAAATAAAAGTTTACCAAAGCTCTCATTTCTTAATTAGACCAATGGGTTGGGTTTGTGTTGCTTGGATTAAGGAAGCTTCATTGCTATCATATATTTTGAATTTTTCTTTTGTCCCCTTTAGAGGCTTTCAAACTTTGGAGGAATGCACTGCGGTAGGATTTGGAGTGAGTGCAAGATATGCTTTTTGTGAAGTGAGAGAAGAGAAATTTTGAAAGAGAAGTTTGATCTTGATAGCAGCAAGATTATTTTTAAGAAATAATATATGTGAAATTTGAGGATATAAAAATTGATTCACTTACAGCCTGTGTATCCCTTGGAAAGTTATTATCTACCAGGAGCACTTGACATCCAGTTTAAAGACTAATTATCAGAAAGTGTTGTGTCATTGAAATTTTCAGCTATGAATTACTAGATTCAGTAAACCAGTGAGAAGCCTTTCCCTTTTTTCTATGGATGGCAGAGTCCTTAATTGTTTAAAGAAAGAGTAGTCAAAAGAAAATGTATTAGATTTCACTATATCAATGAGAATTTAATCATGTGCTGTTATTTGTTAAAATGTTCTCTAATTTCTACTTATTGATATATCTAAAATGGTGCTTTTTTTTAGTTTGTGCAAGTTGATCAGTTGCTAAGAAATGATCCTTTTGGTTTCTTTAAGTGAGTTAAATTTTACTTTCTGTATGTCTACTTCTACCTGCCATCTACTTTTATGTTATTTATCATGCTTTATTTTCTGTTTTTTGTGTAATCATCTGTTTTTTGATTTTCATGATTAATTCAATTTTCAATTTTCATCTTTTCTCAGTGGTCTAGAAATTCAACATTCTTATTGTTTTTCTGGAAGTTCTCTTTAAATTTTTAGCAAACATACTGAAACATACTTTCTTAATAATTTCAAAAATTATTATCTGTAACTTCCCCTTCCTGAAAAAGATAAAGACATTTAACATATTGTTGTTTACTTTCTACCTCCACCCATTCTCACCTCTGAAACTTCTGGGAATCATCTGGAATTTTTGTTTCCAAATTCTATTAATTTTTTATTGTCTTCAAATTATGCCGATTTGAATTTCAAATTTCTTTACATTATACCTATACATTATCAGCAATTATTTTTATTTTTAAAGAAGGTTAATAAACAACAATCTCAACAATCTTATGCAATTTTGCCTAAGAAAAAGGAGAGACAATACAAGTAAACATAGAGAACAGAAAAGAAATTTAAGCACAGATATATAGAAGGTTAAACAAAAACTCTAGTAGATTAACAATACAGCTGGGCACGGTGGCTCACGCCTGTAATCCCAGCACTTTGGGAGGCCGCGGCGGGCAGATCTCTCGAGGCCAGGAGTTCAAGACCAGCCTGGCCAACATGGTGAAACCCCATCTCTACTAAAAATACAAAAATTAGCCAGCTGTGGTGGCTTATGCCTCTAATCCCAGCCGCTCGGGAGGCTGAGGCAGGAGAATCGCTTGAACCAAGAAGGGAGAGGTTGCGGTAAGCTGAGATTGTGCCATTGCACTCCAGCCTGGGCGACTTTTCACCAGTCCTTAAGAAACAGTTTCTGAATTACATGAATTGTTGCAGAGCAAAGAAACTTATGGAAATCTTTCCATTT
Source organism: Homo sapiens (assembly GCF_000001405.40). NCBI lineage: Eukaryota > Metazoa > Chordata > Mammalia > Primates > Hominidae > Homo > Homo sapiens. Next base: position 118,302,381 of record NC_000004.12, on the reverse strand, counting down.
ATTTTATGAAGCTAATTTAATGTGATTTCAAGACTAGGTAAGTAAACACACAAAAAAGAAAACTATACCTCAATCTAATGAATCTACATACAAAGTTATTTTGCTAACAAAATATTAGCAAATTTAATTCTACAATGTATTAAAAGAGCAATATACCACCAGTAAGTGGAGTCTGTTGTAGGAATGTAAGAGTGATTCAAACTGAGACATTCAATTAATGTAATTCAGTGTGTCACCCATAAATATACAATAATTTTAATAAATGATTAAACAAATATCTTAATAATGTTGAAAAGTTATATGATAAAATCAACATTCCTTCTTAGGAAGCTGAGAACAAAATTAAACTGCTTTAATTTTATATCACAAATAAGCATCAAATAGGAACAAAAGAGTGCCTGCCATTACTGCAATGATAGCATTGTCTGGAGGTTGCACTAAAGCCTTAAGAATTGAGGTATCAGTATTGAAAAGGAAGGGTCAGAATATTTATATGAATAATATGATTGTTCACCTAGAAAACCCAAGAGAATCAACTGGAAAGAGACTAGAACTAGTGTTTATTAATGTAACAAGATAAAACATAAATACTTAAAAGGCAATCGTCTGCCTGTGGGATAAGTAGAAAATAAAAAGAAAAACAGATCTGTAGAAGTTACAAAAACTAACAACAAAACAAAAACTAGGAATACACTTTGTAAGAATTGAGACCTATGTGAAAAACCTAAGTCTTTACTAAAGCTAGAAGACCTTATCAATGAAGAGATGTACCGCAATCCTGAATGTGAAGACAAAATAGAAATAAATTTATACATTAAATACTATGCTAGTAAAAATCTTTCATTTTTCTTGGTGTGCATATGGGGTGGGGAGGGGGATTTGACTTCCAAATTCATCTGAAATCCAGTCCATGTGGTACTGGCACAGGAATAGTCAAAGAGGTCAGTGACACTGCAGCAGTGGCTTTCAACCTTGGTTTTAGATTGAAATCATTTTGGAACTTGAAAAAACACTACCCATTCTACTTTAATTCATGTGAGATGAGGTTCAGGTTGTGCTATACTTTAAGTGTTTTCAAAGGCAATTCTGATGGGTAGCCAAGGTTGTGAATTACTGAACTATAAAGACCAAGAAATGGCTTGTGCACATATAGCATGATAAATAAGAAAGACTTTCAAATCAGCAGGTTATTGGGACAACTACTTTAAGGACAAAAATAAAGCTAGATTTCTTACTAACACTAATAGTAAGACAGAAATAAATTTCAGACAGACAAGAACCGTGATATACAATAAATACATAAAATTTAAAAAATGCAATAAATAATATAATTAATTAATTGATTAAAAAATAGAAAAAAGTAGAATAAAACTTCTAGGAAGAAATCTAAGCTGCCCACAAAGATTTATGTATAAGGATATATATATAATTGTAAGAAGTCTAATAATTTTAAAACACATGCGCAACAATGAAGAAATAACTTAGTTTTCTTTGCCAAAGTTTGATGGAGAACTATCCGCAGAAGAATCACCTACAGTTTTGTTAAAAACAGATTACTTATTTTTTAAATGATTTCTTTGTCTATTGTATGCCATTATTCTCTACTAGAAAGTATATTCACCAACAAATATATTTCTAGAAATATCAACTTTTAAATTTATCTTTCCACTTTCCTTGGAGTAGTTTTTAGGAAAGCTACATTCTTAATTTTTAAGTTTATCAATTTTAAAATTTATAGTTTATACCCTCTATGTCCACTTTATTAAGTTTTTCCCTAACTTGAGATTTCAAGGATAGTTTTCCAATAATTCATCTGGAAAGCTTTTGCTTCTGATAACTATTTCATTAATTTGCTTGAAAGCTTTTGCCTTTGATAACTATTTCATTAATTTATCAGAAATTGAGTTCTAAATATGGCGTTAGTTTGAAATATTTATTTCATTTAAATATTTTTGTATTTGCATACTTTAAAATGTGTTATTAAACAAAAAATTAATAAACTAAAAGTAAATCTGCCATTTAGTCATGATTCCTATTTTTCTCTGTCTCCGTTAAAAATTGTACTTTTAGGCCAGGTGTGGTAACTCACTCCTGTAATCCTAGCACTTTGAGAGGCTAAGGTGGGTGGATCGCTTGAGGTCAGGAGTTGGAGATTAGCCTAGGCAACATGGTGAAACCCCGTTTCTACTACAAATACAAACAAATTAGCCAGGCATGGTGGCATGCGCCTGTAGTCCCAGCTACTTGGGGGGATGAGGTGAGAGGGTCTCCCGAGCCCAAGAGTTCAAGGCTGCAGTGAGCCGAGATCACGCCATGGCACTCCAGCCTGGGTGACAAAGTGAGACTGTGTCTTAAAAAAAAAAAGTAAATAAATATAAAAAATTGTACTTCTTTTTTTTTTGAGATGGAGTCTCGCCTTGTCACCCAGGCTGGAGCGCAACGGCGTGATCTCAGCTCACTGCAATCTCTGCCTCCTGGGTTCAAGCCATTCTCCTGCCTCAGCCTCCAGAGTAGCTGGGACTACATGCCCAGCTAATTTATTTTATTTTATTTTATTTTATTTTATTTTATTTATTTTATTTTATTTATTTTATTTTATTTTATTTTATTTTATTTAATTTTATTTATTTTATTTATTTTATTTTATTTTATTTTATTTTATTTTATTTATTTTATTTATTTTATTTATTTTATTATTTTTGAGACAGAGTTTTGCTCTTGTTGCCCAAGCTGGAGTGCAATGGCACGATCTCGGCTCACTGCAGCTTCCGCCTCTTCGGTTCAAGTGATTCTCCTGCCTCAGCCTCCCAAGTAGCTGGGATTACAAGCACGTGCCACCATGCCCAGCTAAATTTTTGTATTTTTAGTAGAAACGGTTTCACCATGTTAGCTAGGCTGGTCTTGAACTCCTGACCTCAGGTGATCCGCCCGCCTTGGCCTCCCAAAGTGTTGGGATTCTAGGCATGAGCCAACGTGCCCGGCCTAAAAAAATTGTACATTTTTCTTCTAAAGGAGGCAAAAAAATTAGTTCTTACCTCTGTAGGTTATTATTTAATCTCATTGTTTTCTTTGCAATATTATACCAATATTAAGAGAGTATTGTACTCTTTAAGAGGGTAAAAAATTTAGAGGTGATTTTTTCCTGCTTAAACGAGAGTTAAAGACTATCATGATTTTTTGATGTGCCATTAAATGTAAGTTTCTTAGAAAAAGCTAAATTAGAGGCAAGTGATGTAATAAAGTAGCTGTGGAGTATGGGAAAGTATAGTTAATACCTTTTTTATTTAATTTTTTTTGACAGTCATGAAACAAATGGTTTTTAGCACATGCAGATGCTAATTTTAATATGTAAAAATTAAGGAATAAAATTGAATACATGTTGTGATTTATTCAGATATATGACTGACTGATTCTTCACATGATTAAGAATGTTCTGTCTTCAGGGGTCCTGCCAGAGCAAGAACCATGGCTTACTTTGGAGAAGGAAAAGGACCCATCCATGTGGATAATGTGAAGTGCACAGGAAATGAGAGGTCCTTGGCTGACTGTATCAAGCAAGATATTGGAAGACACAACTGCCGCCACAGTGAAGATGCAGGAGTTATTTGTGATTATTTTGGCAAGAAGGCCTCAGGTAACAGTAATAAAGGTAAGTCACCTTCTGGAGCCCTAAACAAGTCAAGGAATACTAATTCCCATTCCATTACTATAAGCAGTACTTTGATAACAGAAATCTAGTACAACAAGAACGTATACAGATCCATGTCTTGTGCTATTACTTAGATCCGGTAGTTCTTGGCAAACTTGCCTAGGTGGGGCTGACAGGCAGAACAAGGTTCAGGGGTAGGAATGAATTTACGGGGCCTTGTAATCTCTGGGATCATCCTCTTTTCACTTTCTTAGCCATTTCTCTGTTTCCTTTTTTAGATGTAATAAAGCTCTCATGCTTGTTGCTATCTTTGAAGATTCAGAATTGATAATGACTTCATAAAAAGGAAAGAAATGAAAATATAGAAATGAATTAAAGGCATTTCTAAAGTCTTACTAATATTTTAAACAAGGATATTTAAAAATGAATTTCAAAAAGAAAATGATGTTTTGTAGATTTTATTCTCTGAAATTTAAAAATTTAAGGAAAATGATAAGTAATCCTTTCGTATGATACAGTAATGTTTCATACTTTAAATGAATAGAGTTCTTGAAAGCTCTGCATACATTTAATTTTTTTTTTTTTTTTTTTTGTTGAGACGGAGTCTTGCTCTGTCACCCAGGCTAGAGTGCAGTGGCACGATCTTGACTCACTGCAACCTCCACCTCCTGGGTTCAAGTGATTCTCCTGCCTCAGCCTCCCGAGTAGCTGGGATTACAGGCGCCTGCCACCACGCCCAGCTAATTTTTGTATTTTTAGTAGAGACGGGGGTTTCACGTGTTGTCTAGGCTGGTCTAGAACTCCTGACCTCAGATGATCCGCCCACCTCAACCTCCTGAAGTGCTGGGACTACAGGCGTGAGCCACCACACCTGGCCTATTTAATTTTTATGAAACATTCTTTAAATGACTGAGAGAATGAGCTATTTTGGAGAAATTTGTGGTACATTTTATGAAAAGAACAGTTGCCTCTTTATCTGGATTGAAAGTTTATAGTTCTGATACACTGGATTTTGTTAAAATCAGGTGCACCTGTATTTTGAGGATTCTCTTTTTCTAACACCTTTTAATAACTGCCAAAGACAATGCAATAAGTGAATTGGATGTCGTTAATATGATTCTTTGCTGTCTGAGGGGCTTCTGATTGTGAAAAGAACACTTACAATCCTTTTCACTTTATTTTCTATTCATATATATTAAATATATATACATATTTTTATATATGAATGTGTGTATAGATATATGTATATATGTGAATGATTTGGCCAGCTCTTTCCCCTGAATACTGATTATAACTTAATTTACTGAATTCCCTTTAATAATTTAAATTACCATTACAAATGGGATATAACTGATTCTTTGAATTATGTGAAATTCCGTAAGCAGTTGAAAAACATAAAAAACATTATTTATATGTTTGTTTTTAATGCCTTCCTAGAATTATAGCAATATTCTTTTTGATATCTTTCCATGGTTATGGCAATGCTACCATACTTCAAGTAAAAAGATTTCATCTTAGCCCAGCTAGATTACAGAATCTGGCATATTAACCAGTTGATTTTATGTTGATACTCAGGACCTGGTGACATCTATAAGGTGATTCAAACTGAAGCCATTGGTTATTGGTCATCTGATGGGTTTCTTTTATAAATGAACTTCATTTTTCTTTTAAAAAATTTTAAATAATAGTGTATGACTTTAAATAGAGTTTACTTTCTTGCAGGCTGGTTCTTTGCCCCAGAATGATGTAAACTTAAAATTTTGCTTGTTTTAAACATTACATCATTCCTTTTCTTGGCATCATATACATTGACCCAACTTGGAGCATTATTGGAAACTTATGTTTTTTCTAATATCTTACAATTTGCAGTGTCATCTAGAGGACTCATATTGTAAGAAATGAAGGTTAAAGTTTGAAAGCATACCTCTGAGATCATTTTGCAAATTAATCATCTTGGTACACATTGTTGAACGTCTTTCTCCACCAAGAAATAACTATTGCTGATTCCCTGTTGGGCTCCCTTCTACCTGGTTATTATGGGAGACCATTAGTGTTGATTAGGTCTTCCTGTACTTGGCACAGTTCCCACCCTCCTCCTCTTAGATAGAAAAACAGTACATATCTATACTTTATACACATATATTTAACCAAAGAAACAAAGTACCTCTATATAAATTCTCCTGTTTTCTCAAATATTTTAAAAATTAGTCATACCTGTTGCATTTGCCTTTCTTTCATATACCACCTTTTTATATATTTTTAATTTAATTCTTCTTTTTTGTATGTTCTTGACAGAAGTCTGTTACCTTGGGAGGTTTGCCTGTATACCCTTAACCATAGTTTACCACTTCAATTGGCTTAGCAAACCCTTTCCGTATGTTGACATGCTAAGTAAATGTAAATTCAGATCAGAATTCTAGCCTGGGAATGTGCTTTGCTCTTCTGAGTTACATTTTTTTATGTGACTTAGAACAGTCTTGCATGTGGAAAGTAAGTAATTTAGGCCATTACTGCCTTTGCAGTTCTCTTATTTTGTTTAATGTTCCATACATTTTGTTCCATACATTACACCAAATAGCAGCAGCAGGAGATATAGGTACCTACCAGGATAAAGTACTGGACAGAGTCAAACCAGTCAGCAGCCCATGAACCCCTCAGAGGTGAAGAATGGGAAACCTCATAATGTTTCTTGTCTACTTGCAAATTATTGTCATTTAGTCAAATGAGAAAACTATTTTTGTTACAAGAAAAATTTTAATTTGCAGAGAAAAGGGATTTTGACATAGAGGAGGAAGCATCAGTGGAGTATGTCACTTATCGTCTTACCCCTCTGTCAGCAATGTGATAGTTTAATTAATGACCTATTTCTGCTTCAGAGTCCCTCTCATCTGTTTGTGGCTTGAGATTACTGCACCGTCGGCAGAAGCGGATCATTGGTGGGAAAAATTCTTTAAGGTAAATGTTCCTCCAAAAGAGATTTTTTATATTACAGAATTATTTATATACATAGAGTGTTACAAACTGGGGATGTTCTGTTATATAAGGGACTTGTACTCATTTTATTTTCTAAACTAAATTCAGATTTCACTGATAATTTCACTGTCCTTTGACCTATGTTTACTTGGTATACACCATGTTCTTATACCAGCCTGATTTAAGAGATTAGATGTGTTGCTGAAAAGTTATATGGCAGAAACAAAATAATTTAACAGGAGACCTGGAAGTGTGTGTAACTACAAAGATTCATCTAATTTAGAATGTATTTGTTTCAGACTTGACTCAGTTTAATCTAAGTTTTTTGTTTGTAGAATTTACTCATGGAAAACTTTATTAAATACTTCTTCAGACTGCATAGGCGAGGTAGAGTGAGGAGAGAAATTACACTTTAAATCATGAAATATAAAGAAGACAACTTGTTTCTAAGAGTGTCAGATAGGTGGGATCTATACAAATGCCTATAAGCAAATCTTTAGAGTTGCTGATGCTGGGCCTGCTCAGAGTTGTGGGGTCTCCTTCTCAAAGTAGGAAGGGATGTATCCTGGAGTCCCTTTTGCTTTCCTTTTCCCCCACCTGCAAGGCATTAAAGTTATTAAAGCCATTGCTTTAACCAGTGCTTTCCTTTGCTTTTTTGCCTTTTACTGACGTTGATGTGTAGCTCATTTTCTTCTTAGGGGTGGTTGGCCTTGGCAGGTTTCCCTCCGGCTGAAGTCATCCCATGGAGATGGCAGGCTCCTCTGCGGGGCTACGCTCCTGAGTAGCTGCTGGGTCCTCACAGCAGCACACTGTTTCAAGAGGTATGTGTCCACCTTCCCAAACAACCTAGTGTAGCTTCTATTCATCAGTTCTTCCAATCCCCTCATGCTCTACAGCACTCAAGGTGTCAGAGCCAGGCTATGAGCTTTCGCTGCTTGTGCCAGCAGCCCTGTGGAATGAGGGAGTGACAAAAGGAGCAAAGAGAGCCCTTAGAAGGCCACTTGCTACCCTGGTGTTAAAACAAACTCTGGATTTAGGGAGAATAGAAGAACAGGGGTTTTTGGAGAGGAGGCAGCAATGTCAGTGCTCCCCCCAAGAACGTATCTGAGGCTGAAATTATATCTTTGTGGAGGTAGAATAGACCTCGGATTATTTAGTTATAATGATAAGGACTAGGGAATGCAGTTGTAGTGTTTTTGATTCTTTGAGTCTTGGTGTCTTGTACCTTTGAGAAAGGTTGCATATGTTTCATTCTTGGTTTCCTATAGTTTAGTCCTGATTATTTCTTCTTGTCCCAAACATTTTATCAGTCCTTTCTGAAGTCTTCCCAGTTCAGAGGAGAGGTCATGCAGAGTCACCAGAGTCACGGAGCTCATGGTGGCAGATCCTGCAGTAGAACTGGCTCTACTTTCTCTTGTTTAGTGCTTTTTTGTGGGCCTTGGTTAATGGCCCTTTCCTCAGCATTAATTTTGGTATTTAAATATGTATACCAATGCTTGTCAAAATATTGATAATTATTAAAGCAATGTGTTGAGTACAGAGTTTCATTGTACTATTTTAATTTTGTGTTTTGAACATTGTCACAATGAAGTTTTAAAAAAATGTGTACCACATTGTTGAAACATTTTTGCAAGCAGAAATTTTTCTGTTTTTTCTTATGTGATATCATACGGTACATACCTTTGCCTCATTATGTACTTACGATCCATCCATGCAGATTTGTTCATTCACTTTAACTGCTCCATGAATTTTAACTGCTATTGAAAGACTGAACCAGTTTATTTATTCGCCTGTTGCTGCATAGTTAGCTGCTTTCCATTCTTTCATTGATAGAAAACAATGTTGCAATAAACAACCAGGTACAAGTCTCACTGGGTGTGTGCACATGGGGACATTTTTCTGGGTCCTGGAATATGGATTCCCTTCAATTTTTCAAGCCTTGCCAATTTATCCTTTGAAGAAATTGTATCAGTTTATAACCCAGCAATGTGTAAGTTCCTGTTTCCTCACCACTCCACCTAAACTTGATACTATCAAAATTTTAAATTTTTTGCCAATCACAAAGTTTTGGGGTTTCTTTTTAATTGTATTTCCCTGACCAATGTCTTCCTCTTTCATGAATTCTTTGTTCATATACTTTGCCTGTTTTTGTATTGGGCTATTTGTCTATTTGTAATTGATTTTTTAAATTTTTGGATATGTTCTGTGTGCTAAGTCTTTGTTGTTAGGTGTTACAAGTACTTTTTCCTAGTCTGGACCTTGTCCTTTTACTTGTTTATGGCCTTTTTCTTACAAAACTGTCTTCATATATTTAAAAGTGTCATCATTTTCTTAAAAGTTTTACAAAAGCTTTGTATTTCTTATTTAAAAAATCTTTGCCCCATTTGGTGAAGATATTCTCTTATTTGTTTTCCTAAAAATTACCTTTATAGTTTTGCTTTTAATATTTAGAAGTTTAATTTTTCCAGTTTATTTTTGTTTATAGTATATGGTATGAAGAAAGGACCTAATCTTATACTTTTCTTTATGGATAGTTTTCGCAGCATTTTTTTATTAAATATTCTAGTCTTTACCCACTGATTATGCTGTCATATGCCAAATTCTCATATATCCTTGTTCCTAGGATCTCTGTTTTCTTCCATTTTTGTACTTCAGTAAATATTTGTGCAGTCATCTTCCACATTCAAGGTGCTGCAGATAATATGTATTTTATTTATTTATTTATTATTATTATTATTATTTTTTGAGATGGAGTCTCACTTTGTTGCCCTAGCTGGAGTGTAGTGGCACGATCTTGGCTTACTGCAGCCTCTGCCCTGCCAGGTTTAAGGATTCTCCCGCGTCAGCCTCTTGAGTAGCTGGGATTACAGGTGTGCGTCACCATGCCTGGCTAATTTTTGTATTTTTAATAGAGACGGGGTTTTACCATGTTGGCCAGGCTGGTCTTGTACTCCTGACCTCAAGTGATCTGCCCGCCTTGCTTCCCAGCCTGATCAAACCTGTATTTTACATAACAGTGGCTATTTGGGGATATAATTGAGCTTCAGAGTCCACCTGTTTACTAGTGGGTTTAACACATTCCTGTGTTACCTGAGTGGCATGAACAATAAAGATCATATTAATTCATTCACTTAACAAATAATTATTGAGCCCTTAATGTTCTCAGGCACCTGCTATGTACTAGAGATATAGTGGAGAACAAGTCAGATAGAATCCTTGCTGTTACAGAGTTTACTATGTAGTTATAGGAGCTGAGAGGAAGGAGATGTTGACTTTGCTGATATGACCAGAAAAAGTTTAGGGCACCATTTTTAAAGTGAGATATTTTTACCAAAATGTTAGATTCATTTAGCTTGTTAATAGTCCAGGTTCCTGAGCCCCTGCTCTAAATCTGCTGAATCTTTGGAGATGAGACCCAGGAGTTGCTTAGGTTAAGACCCACTTGCTTAGAGGAGACGTAGTTGAAGAATGATGATGGGGAAGAATAAGTGGAATTGACAGATGCTTATCTTTGTCGTGTTCAACATATTAATTGCTAAACTGATAAAGGACACTGATGGTAAATTGATTATATTTTTGGGTGCCAGAAGAAGGGGAGGGACAAGTAATATGTTGGAAGGTAGGATCATGATGGCAAAATATCTTTTTTTTTCATATATGGGAAGACCAATTTTTAAAAATTTCTTCTAAAAAAAAAACTAGGATACATGTGCAGAACGTGCAGGTTTGTTACATAGGTATACGCGTGTCATCGTGGTTTGCTGCACTTATTGACTGGTCCTCCAAGTTCCCTCCCCTCACCTGGCAAAATATCTTGATAGGCTGATTCTAACAAGCAATATGGAATAAGGATGAAATAAAATGCTGCCTTTAGTTCCAGGAAATTTGGCTGAAATACAGCACAAGTGAAAAACTCACTGGTTTTAGCGTCCTGCAACTTTAATAAGACTCAGCAATACAATATGGTTGCCCATGAAATTAATTCAGTCTTGGGTAGCACTGACGAATGGTGTCCAGACAAAGCAGTGAAGAACCTTGCTATTCTGTCTTTCTGTGCTCAAGCAACTGTCAGGGAGAAAAGCACTGTGTCCATCAAACAGAGAACTGTGCTCAGTTCTGTGTGCCACACAATGAGAAAAGGACATGGTGCTCTAAGAAGGGCAAGCAGAAAGGAAAGATTGTGTGGGACTGGATTAGATTTGTTGCCTTTTGCTTCAGATACCACAAATGTTAAAGGGAGATAAGATAATTTTTGCTTTAACACAAAAAAGAGTTTTCTGTTGTTTATTTTTTATTTCTTTGACACGAGGACAGTTCAAAGATGGAATGGGCTATATGTGGGAGGAAAAGTGAGTTCTGTTAAGGAGTCTGTTTAAGCAGAGAGAGCTTAGGTTCATGTGAAGGTAGAGGCTGGTGGTAGATAAGATGTAGTGTTTAGAGTACTGTGGTGAGAAAGCAAAAGCTATGTTTGAGGGATGGCAATTATTACCTAGAATACAGGATCTGGGATTTGTTAGTGAACTTAGAGAGACGAGAATGGCCTGGGATGCCAGGGTTATGGATTCCTCTTTCATTTACTAGGTAGTGGGAAACCACTAAAGTTTTGAGCCTTGAAAGATGATCAAGGAAGAGTTTCAGGAGATGAGTCATTTGGAGATTTGTGGCATATATCTGAGGGGGTAAGGCAAAGTTATTAATCTAGGGGGGCGTCTGTGAATGGGCTTGACATTATATTAAAAAAATCTTTGTATATGTTTGTACTTACATGCCTTTTTCTGGCAAATTGGTCTGTGTTACCAAATGATTTAAGTAGGAACTGGAGGGACTGTGAGGAAGGGACCTAATTTTATACTTTTATACTGGAGGGAGACCAGTTATAAGATTATTGTAATAATAGAAATAGGTGAAAAGGAAAGGAGGGAGTGAAGGTAGAGAGACTGTTAGAAATCAGTAGAGCCTGGTACAATACAACAGAAGGAGACTTGGATCTGGCCACCAAGACCAGGTTTACAATTCTAGCTCTTCCAATTGTTAATTGTTTAACTTTGCAGAAATTATTTAACCTCTTGGAGTCTCAGGTTACGTCATTTTACATCTGTAAAATGAAGATAATAATGTTCCACAGTGAGAAACAAATGATCTGCAAAGTATGTCAAAGTATTTTATAACCTCTAAAATTCAAAACAAATATTGGTTATTTTTATGTTGGAGTTTAAAGGCAAGAATTGAAGACTATATTAGTGAAAGTAGGGAACTGAGGATTATTTTATTTCACTTACTAATGGAGAAGAATAAGGTATAAAATTGCAAAGAACTTGAAGAAGCCTATTTTGGGGCTTTGAATTTAAGCAAAATAATCTGTTATCTTCCTGTTATTCAAGATTTCTTGTCTTTCAAATTTCAGCCAAAAGTTACAGTCATAGGAGTTCAAGGCTTAAAGTATTAAAGTAGGAAGATTGCTCAAAAGTTGCACTTGAGGTTAAACACTTTAACTTTTGGGTTCCCTGGATGGGCTCTTTTTTTTGTTGTTGTTATTTTTGGATTTATTTGTTTACATGTCATTATTTCTCCTTTGGCCTGCTCTGTCTTGATTATTGCTTAAAGTCAGTAATCGTCTCATTTCTCATTTGTGTTTATACACCAAGTGTCTACTGTATGACTTGGCACATAGTAGATACTCTGAATGATTGTTACATGATGAAAGTGGTGGCTCAGTTGCCAGATAGTGAATTATTTAAGAATGTTGGGCTTTTTAGAGGATGATGATATTTTCAAACTGAGATCAACAGATAATTCCTTCCATATGTCCTTTGGAATTTCTTCTCATTATTTGCACAGTTTAAGATAAAAATAGTTGATTAAAGAGCAGAGGAGCAGATTATGATATGCAGCATTTTGATATGCTTTGGCTATAATACAAGATTCTTTTAATGTGAGTAGGGAAAAAACTGCTTTGCAAATGTGTTATATATCCTTCTGACTTGGCTTTTACCTTTGCCGGATTTCATAGACTTCCTGTTTGAAGCGCCTAAGGAGGCTACAGCTCACATCTTTATTGATGTAAGTTTATTAAAAGGCATACAGCTAGTTACTAGTGATTAGAACAAGCTCCAAATTTTGTTTTCCTAGATTTAGGGACTTTTGCTTAAAACAAATCCTCCTTTCATCATCAGAAACACTGAAATTTGCAAAATAGAGACTGTAATCTAGAAGCAATGTAGTAGGGCTCTGAGAGGTTCCTGTCCTTTTAGATGCCAGGTGAAAGATACCTTAGTTTAATATAAGGCCTATAGGTAGGGGAACGGGATTTCATATTTTGAAATTAGCTTCCCCTCACCCCCTTTTGACATTTCCACTGCTTTATCAACTACTGGGCTTCTGTATACCTAAAGATTTCTTGTTCATCAGAGCTTCCTTGGTACCTAATTCTTGCAGTGATGTAGGCCAATGTTCTTGACCAGCCATTTCTGGACAATAAGGCATAGATCGTTATTACCATTTGTGTTATTTAATTATACAGGATTAGAACTTTTTATGTTTATTTGTTTGCCTTCATAGCATAGTCACTCTTTTATATAATCTTTGTATCAGAATAATCTAGGAATGGTGGCCTGATGAGGATGAGATCAAAATGCCATAATTCCACTCTGCCATATTAATGCCATAATGCCGCTAGCCTCAGTTACACTCATTTCATGTGGAGTAGTCTCTTTAAGGGTGCTTTATGTGAAGGCTGGCAAAGTTTTCGTAACTCAACTCTTATTCCCTCATAGCTTTCACACATTTCCATGCCAATGTAACAAGCGCACCTGAAGTAGTTGGTAAATCACTATTTAAAGGCTATCTCATTTTTCACATTTTTCTTAATGTTAATGCAATACACATGGAATGCAGTAGCCTGTTGGCAATTTGAATTGGAAACTTTGTTAAATTAAGTTCTTTTGTAACTGGCTTGTGAATCTTACATAATATAAATTGCTAATTTTTGCTTTCTATTCTAGATTGTAACTACAAGTACCATGAAATTGCCTTGCGTGTCTATTGTGGTGCAGCAATATAACTGAGACAAAAATTCCTGAATATTAATTTCTTTTAATTGCTTATTCTGATAACAAACCTGATTTTGCAGGAATAAATGTACCTGAAACAAGGGCTTTCTTATTTCTGTAATTTTACTCCAAAGTGGACTTGTTCAAGAATATAACTTTACCTGACTTTATCTCATTGACTTTTTGCCCTAGAAATGCAATAGTAGCTGGAAATTGTTAGAAATGACTAGATATTTCTAATTAGAGAGATGGCCACAGAGGTAATGGGACTTACTTTTTAAGAACACAGTGTGTCAGATGCCTAATATATGTTTCATCATGACATAGTATATGGTAGAGCAGAGCTCTTAGGAACATAGCCTTTGGTAATACACATATCACCAATCATGCTAAAACTATTTCTGTAGTACACATAGTATTTGTGTATGTGTAAGGGCTAACGCAAGATTCTACTGAGGTTTACTTCTCTGTAAGCAATTGGAACCATTTACATAAACAACTTCAGTCAACTACTTTTTGAGTTTCATCCAGAGAGGAAAAACAGATTTTAGTAGTAGCAGATGTGCATGGCCTGATGTAAAATACTGTTTTCCTGTAGAGACGAATCCATGTAGAGAAGAAACACAAAGAATATGACCCTGCAACCTGAATTAATTCTACTTTTAATTCTAGTAATTTGTTGTTGTTGTTGTTTACTTTAGCCTCAGAGTCTCAGAGAAACTTGGACATTGGATTTTAATAAACTACTGTGTCTCAGATCCTCTCTTGCTCAAACTTGTCTGGGAATTTCATCCAATTTTTATTTGAGGGGGAGTTGAAGGCATTTCAGCAAAGCAAACAACTGAATGATGTGTCAGCCAAAACCTGAAATGTTTGTTTTAGAAGCATTTTTGGATAAAATAAAGTCTATCAAAATAACAAAAGTTCAACTAGAAAGACCTTAAAATACATTGCAAAAGAGGATTGCTTTATATGTTGTCTTGAGAAGCCTAGAACCATAATAGATACTTCTGAAGTCCACACACATATTGAGTACTTCAGCCAAAGTGTTATCCCTAAAGCATATAATCATACCCACTAGGAGAGGTGACACTAGAAGACAAAAATTTGGTTGGAAAACTATTCCAATCTTGTGTCAGATGCTCTTCAAATTCTAAGCACAAAATATATTCTAAGAATAATTGGAGTTAAAGGAGTGTGAGACTCCATGCTTAGGTTTAGCTGGTACATTTCCCTAAATTAGGACAACTTTAAAAGTATAGGTACTTGGCCGGGTGCAGTACCTATAATCTCAGCACTTCAGGAGGCCAAGGCAGGCAGATCGCTTGAGCCCAGGAGTTTGAGGCCAACCAAGGCAACATAGTGAGACCCTATCTCTACAAAAAATAATTTTTGAAAATTAGTGAGCATGGTGGCATGCACTTGTGGTCCCGGCTGCTTGAGTGGCTAAGGCAGGAGGATGGCTTGAGCCTAGGAGATCAAGGCTCGCAGTAAGCCGTGATCGCACCACTGCGCTCCAGCCTGGGCAACAGAGTGAACCCTTGTCTCAAAAAAGAAAAAAAAGATGTGTGTGTGTGTGTATTCCATATATACATATGAACTAACAACTTCATTTTGACAAGAATGGTACTGTTCGCCTTTTTGTTAGGTAAATATTTTTATTCTCAGTTTAATATAAACTGCTGATTGGTGAGCATACAAATTCTGGGGTTTACCTGCCAAAATCTACTTGATCCAGGAACACAGTGTATGTATGGAACATGTATGCTTTTTGCATTTTGGTTTCTATTAGTAATCTCTTAGGATGCTTACTTCATCCAGTGAAGTTCTGGGCATGTACGGGCAGGAGTTATGCCCACACTTTTGAGTCTTTGGTTCAGTGGTTCCCAAGTCTGACGGTGGATCTGAACCCCATGGATTTTCATGGGGTTTTTATAGGAAATAGAAACATTTTTTGATAGTTTTGTTATAATATGGTAATTGATAAGATCTCTTTTTAATTTCAGTAAGTTAGGGATGAGAGTGTATGTATGTGGACATGAATGTCTTTCAAAATAACTCATTCATTATACATTTATTAAGCGCTTTCTCTGTGCCAAGCACTTTGCTGGGTGCTAAGGATACAATAGTGATCATGACATGGTCCTTGCCCTTGAAAAGCCTTTAATTAAGTCCTAGAAACTGTTACATATGCATTGAGAGTGTTCAAAAGGATTGGCTAGCTTTCAGGAGAGCAGAAGATTAGGAGGAGCCTCCTAGGAGATCTTTGACTTGATCAGGACAAAATCAGGTTTTGCCATATTAGGATAGAGGGGATGAGAGAAACAACATTGCACATAGTTTGGATAATGACGTGGGTTTGTAAGACAACTCTTCAAACGGTGTAAATGACAGGAGCACAGGGGCCAGGCTGGTATCAGAGAGGGGAACAAGGACCAGTTCTTAGATGGATTTGTGTATCATTTAAGGAATTTGAATTTCACATAGATTGGGGATCCCTTGAAGGGTACTCAGAAGGAGTTATATTATCAGGCAGAAACATCACTCTGGCGGCAGCATGAGGGATGGGTTGAAAAATTTAAAACTTGAAGCGGCAAGTCCATTCAGGCGACTACTGCAATAGTCTTGGCATGAAATGACACATTAAGGCAAGATTGCCCAGGGCTTTAACATTGATATTATTTTAAAAATAAATTGCCTGTGCTAGTAATGTCCTGTTTCTTTGCTTACTGGTTGAAGACTCAATTTTTATAGATAATGCGGAATAGATTTATACAGCCAGTTTAGCTGCAAAGATTAATTTAGCCAAGCGTCACAGCTGTTTCTTACAGAATGGAAAATACTGTTGCAATAAGACTTAAAACAGAGTGAAATCTTGTCTCAAAAAAAGAAAAAAAAAGATAAAAACCCAAACAGGTCAAAGTACTTTAAATAATATATTTAACATAGTGTATCTAAAATATTATCATTGCAAAATGTAACTAATAGAAAAGTTGAGATATTTAATATTCTTATTATCTATAGGGACAATATTTTAGTTTTTTTTTCATACTAAGTATTCAAAATTCTGTGTATTTTGTACTTTCAGCACATCTCAATTCAGACTAACCATATTCCAAGTGCTGCAGTAACCACAGTTAGCTAGTGGCTACTATATCGGGCACTACAGCTCTAGATAATTTCTTAAATTCTATTAAAAAGATAAATGCAACATTTCAGCAGTACTTTCAAGGATGTATTTACAATAATTCTTGTGGGAAAAGTGTTAAATCATTTGGGGTTTTACTTTAAATATGTGAATGTACTGTTAATAAAATTTAATGAATATACTAGCGATATTACTAGCACACAGAAAGTAGAAGTGAAAATAAGTACTTGATTACTCTCCATGCCTATTACTTTTTAGTTCAGTATGTGAAATAATCCTAAATTTTACTTAAATTTTCAAGGAAGCTATAAGAGCATATACTTTAGGCACAATATATTAAAAAGCCTCTGAACTTTAAAGATATGTGATGATTTAAGATTGAGTCTCAAGAAATCACAGATTAACTATTAATATTAAAGATCAACAGTAGGTGGCTATATAAGCCAAATCATCTTTATTGCACTGTTTAGTTTTTGAGCGCTGACAGTTAATCATATATACGAGATGGTCAGAGCCCTACTTAAGGATTAGAATATTCAGGCATCTCATAACCTCCAGTAATTTTATAGAAGTGGGAAGTTTTATTTTAAATAGACACTAGAAAATGCCAAGCTTTTGAATACCAACTCAGTTCTAAGTTCACATTCAAGTACAGGTCTTGTAAACAATAAAAGACCCAAGTTTTGGTTAAAAAAAATTTAAGGTGAAAGTTGTTACATGCGTGCTTCCCCACTTTAACAGTTAGATGCCGGCACAAAATAGGTAGAGCTGATGAAACCAGGGCTGGAGTTTTGGCAGGTAAAAGACAAGCAGGGTAGTTTTTCGAGTGATTGTTGTAATGGGCAGACGGTAGAACCCAAGCCAGATAATAAGGGAAGTCATAAAAGACTAAAATGAAAAAATAGTAGGGCCAAAGGATAGAAGTCCAATGGGTTTGAAGGATTTTAGAGCTGTAAAAACAGAAGGCAGAAATAACGGTATGTGTGAAATCAAGATTTCAGAGGTGTGTGGTTACCTGGTGAATACAAGGTCTAGGTTTTACATTGTAAGTGTGTGGCTGAGATGAGGTGGAGAATACACTCATTGCAGATGAGTAAGTCAGGGAACTACAAAGGAAAAGTTATTGGAAATTAAGTCTTAAGAATGTTATAAGTAGTGGAATGCAATGAGCATGGAGCTCTAGTCTTCTGTGAAAAAGAGGAAGTAACTAGGAGATGGGTTGTGTCATGCATTCTAGGTCAGAGGTTCTCAACTGGGGGCAGTTTGCCTAACAGGGAACACGTGACTATGTCTGGAGACATTTTTGGTAATCGCAACTGGGGATGGAGGGTTTGTGTACCATGTACCAGTGGCGTCTAGTGAATAGGGGCCAGGGATGCTTCTAAACACACTATAATGCACAGGACAGCCCTCACAACAGATAATTACCTGGTCCAAAATGTTAATAGGTTCTGAGATTGAGAAACCCTGCTTTAGGTGGGTTTGGTATCAGAATCATCATACTTTAGTATGATGGCTGAAAAATGGGCTGAGAACTATCCATCTGGTAAATATTGCTTCTATTTTAATGGACTATAGAAAGTATACATTAATAATAAGCATTCACTAACTTAATCAATTTTTTGCATTCCTAATTAATGGCACAACACTATTTTAGGTGTTTTAGATTAATCAGTGAACACAACAAAGATATCTCTGACCTGGAATAGCTTTGACTCAAGCAGGGAGGAGGATAAATGCAATAAATTGTAAATTAGATAGTTTTGTTACAAAGTGATGCTTAAAAACGAGGAAAAGTAGAGATGAATGATATTGGGAGTGTTTGATGATGGGAGGAAAAAGAAAGATGGGTTGCAATTTTAAATACGAGGGTGTCAAAGTAGGCTTCATTGAGGTGACATCTGAATAAAGATTTAAAAGAGGGGAAAGGATAGAAGGAATATATGTTTATCTGAAAGTATAGTTTGGGTTTGCATTCACTTTAGAGGAAAGGGAAGTAGTTTAAGTCCACCTTGCAAGAGTGAAGTCGATTGTACTAAGTACTTTGAGGGACACAAAGTTAGTTTCTGCCCTCACAGAGCTTCATGACAAACTAACAATTCTTGGAAATAACAGGGCAACAACACAGGACAATAATTTTGACCTATTCCTGTTTTGATCGCTTTTCATTTGGGAAATGACAGATTAATGATTAGTCTTTATTTTCCACTCATCCTCCACATTTGCTCCTTCTTGGAGAACAGATTACATAATGAAATGAAGATGAGGTTATGACAATGGGTTTGCAGTAGAGGATCAGGAATGGTGGGTCAGATAAATGGAAAGAAAGGTTGAATTTACAAAAGGGGCTGATGATTTGGAAGAAAGGCTTGTATCTTCATTAGTCTTCCTTCTTGACAATAATTTTCAGTATCTGAAGCAAGTCTCTCATTAGTACTCTCTGCCTCTCAGGTATGGCAACAGCACTAGGAGCTATGCTGTTAGGGTTGGAGATTATCATACTCTGGTACCAGAGGAGTTTGAGGAAGAAATTGGAGTTCAACAGATTGTGATTCATCGGGAGTATCGACCCGACCGCAGTGATTATGACATAGCCCTGGTTAGATTACAAGGACCAGAAGAGCAATGTGCCAGATTCAGCAGCCATGTTTTGCCAGCCTGTTTACCACTCTGGAGAGAGAGGCCACAGAAAACAGCATCCAACTGTTACATAACAGGATGGGGTGACACAGGTAAGGCATAATCAAAAAAAG
Source organism: Homo sapiens (assembly GCF_000001405.40). NCBI lineage: Eukaryota > Metazoa > Chordata > Mammalia > Primates > Hominidae > Homo > Homo sapiens. The sequence goes on along the minus strand of NC_000004.12, from coordinate 118,282,809 downwards.
CAGGGCACCTTTTTGTGTCTGGTATTATCCATATATTTGGGTGTGCAATGGGCAATAAGATCTTAAATGGATTCAGACTTATTTGGAGAAATTTTGCTTAGTGTGAAATGCATGCATGTAATTGAGACTTATATTCTGGAGGTATTGTTGGTTCTAATGAGAACTTTAGCATAAACTGAGAACTCAGTTTAATTCAGTGAAGTAGATATGAATTGATGTGCTAATGCGAAACCAGCATTAATGCATTCTATGCTTTTTAATATACAGAATTCAAATACGAAAGCCTGCACAAATATGCTTTCTTAGGTCACCTTACTCTACAAATCCATAAATGTTATTCATTATTCCTCAGACAATTCAGTACTGAGAAATTTGTGAAGGTTAAGATTGTGTCAACATTAAAAAAGGCAGCTAACAATAGTACATACCAGTTAGTCATTGCTCATTTTAAACTACACTAATGCCACAACAGGGATTTTATTTTCATAACTATTACATGCTCAGTAACTGTTAAATGTTGCGATGGTTATCTGGAATGCCACTAATCAGATGTTTGGTCTGAGTAGGACGAGCCTATTCAAGAACACTACAACAAGCAGCCATTCCCTTACTTCCTAAAAGGTTTTGTGAAGAACGTTATAAGGGTCGGTTTACAGGGAGAATGCTTTGTGCTGGAAACCTCCATGAACACAAACGCGTGGACAGCTGCCAGGGAGACAGCGGAGGACCACTCATGTGTGAACGGCCCGGAGAGAGCTGGGTGGTGTATGGGGTGACCTCCTGGGGGTATGGCTGTGGAGTCAAGGATTCTCCTGGTGTTTATACCAAAGTCTCAGCCTTTGTACCTTGGATAAAAAGTGTCACCAAACTGTAATTCTTCATGGAAACTTCAAAGCAGCATTTAAACAAATGGAAAACTTTGAACCCCCACTATTAGCACTCAGCAGAGATGACAACAAATGGCAAGATCTGTTTTTGCTTTGTGTTGTGGTAAAAAATTGTGTACCCCCTGCTGCTTTTGAGAAATTTGTGAACATTTTCAGAGGCCTCAGTGTAGTGGAAGTGATAATCCTTAAATGAACATTTTCTACCCTAATTTCACTGGAGTGACTTATTCTAAGCCTCATCTATCCCCTACCTATTTCTCAAAATCATTCTATGCTGATTTTACAAAAGATCATTTTTACATTTGAACTGAGAACCCCTTTTAATTGAATCAGTGGTGTCTGAAATCATATTAAATACCCACATTTGACATAAATGCGGTACCCTTTACTACACTCATGAGTGGCATATTTATGCTTAGGTCTTTTCAAAAGACTTGACAAGAAATCTTCATATTCTCTGTAGCCTTTGTCAAGTGAGGAAATCAGTGGTTAAAGAATTCCACTATAAACTTTTAGGCCTGAATAGGAGTAGTAAAGCCTCAAGGACATCTGCCTGTCACAATATATTCTCAAAGTGATCTGATATTTGGAAACAAGTATCCTTGTTGAGTACCAAGTGCTACAGAAACCATAAGATAAAAATACTTTCTACCTACAGCGTATAAACTAGCAAAATTTGAAAGGATTTCTGGTAACTAAATGCCAGCTGGACATACAACCTATTTTATCCAACACATTAACATATCTACTATATTTGCTTTTAACAAGCACCTCATCATAGTCCACGTTCCCCGACCATGATGTAAGAGTGCCACCCACTGACACTTCCCTGTAACTGACTTATACCTGCAGGTTTTCCCAAGCCCAACCTGATACAATCCAATCTTAAAATATACTAGTCAAAATGCTTTCCTGGCCTACACATTGAAAAGTTCTAATACATACAGCAGTTATAACATATGCCAGGCACTGCATTAGGCAGCTTTGCACATCACTGACAATTTGCAAAAGGCCAGTAAATCTTATGGTAGTAGCCCTTGTTTTCAAATGGGGGAAAACAGGCTTGCCTCAAAGTGAGACCAGTTGGTGAAACTGATTCCAAACTCCAGAAAAAATGCTGATTTTTTTCCCCATGGTTCTCCTACCTAAATGATTGGTTTCCCTATGGCTATTTCTCCAAGAGTTAAGGGATAGCTGCTTAACTATGCACCTTTACAGAACATTCTTAGCAGTAATGCTCAAATTTAAAAGGCACACTCAAGATACTTCCATGTCATGGATCCTTCCCCAGGTCCCAGTAGTATAAATATAGGGAAGAGGTTAGCATGAACTTACAAATTGTTTTAAGTAATCCTCTTGAATGCCAGTCATTAAAGGACTTTGCCCTTCTACATCAAATTACATCCTTTTCACAAATCCCCATTTCTGTAATAACTGGTGCAAACCTAAAGGTGCTTTATAGTTTTACTACTTTGCAGATTTGCAATGCTGCATATAATGCAGAAGAGCATTAAAAACTTTTGTAAAAACTCATGATTTTGATAAACTTTTAAAGTAGCGTTTATATGTAAATAGAACTACACATGGCACACACACTTGCACAAGGGCTTCAGAAAAACGTGCAATATAGGTGAGAAAAATGTCTATTGAAACTTTCTCACAGGCTGCCCTTATAATTAAACTAGTGTTGGGGCAAGCAACATCTGTTTCAAGTAGATCAGGGACTAGCAAACCTAAAAGGCAGCAAGCAGCCTGCAGTTTGCTCAATCCTTAAGAATACATGGTTCATACAACATGCTTTTACTATGTCTTAAGTGTGACTTTTGAAAGATACAAGTGTTCTGTGCATATTTGTGTAAATAAATACATAATTTTCCACCTTGTATAACTGCCTTAAATTTTTGTATGGTTTAAAAAGAGTCTGCTGTCTCCCTTGGGGGTAGCCTGGTAATTTTTATATTTTACATTTTTCACAAAGGCTGCAATTACCTTAGAACTGTACTCACACTACTTCCACATGAGCGTGTAACACTAAATAGGAGGTATTATGCTATTAACTACCTTTCCGTCTATTAATCACTCAGTCAAGGAACAATGAGTAGCCACATGAATTAAGCATTTTATTTAATTATCACGGACCACCTTAAATATTACTTTACAAAATTCAGGCCTATATTTAAAATAGGTGTCCTGATAACTTCCAGGATATTATTCGGAACACCCGTTTCCCCAACTACGATAAGTCCATTGCCGGATGCTGAATAAACTTCGCCCATTACCACTTGGATTTCTTGATAGTCTGCAAGAGAAAAAAAGCATTATAAAACTCCGAGCTGTGTACTTACCTCACTGTTTTGAGATCTTATCAGCTAATTCAGTTGGTTGTTAACTCAAACTACAAAAGCCAGCAAAACGGGCCAACTTTAGCTTTCCAACGTCCTGCCGCTAAGGCGTTTCAGATTAACTCAGAAATATCAAAAAAGAAATGTACCTTATGTTTCCATCATCCATCGTAATGTGTTCAGCTCAGCTTCCTAGAAACATTGAACAACGGTTTAGAAATTTTGCCCAATAACCCGGCACCCTCTAGGTTTTTAACAGTGAATGTTACTTGTGCAAGTCAGAATCTGATACCAATTAAATGGTGACAGCTTTGCCAATAAACAAGGATATGCTCTTCCATGGCTAGGAAGGGAGACTGCCACGGCTGACAGGTCCCAAAGATACATGGAGATTCACAATCCAGAATTAACCAGCAACCAAACTGCTACAGGTTATTACTCACCATCTGGCTCAAACTGACGGTTCTCGGGGTGCTAGGGCACAAGAGCGACAGAGTAGACTCAAGATGGCCACATGACACAGACGGCTGAACAGGCTTCACCGGAGTCCCCGAGTGCACGGAACCTTTCCCCGAGGGCCCACGGCCCACGCACGCCGGGGTTCAGGGTCCAGGGCTGCACGTGGACGCCCGGCGACCTAATGAGCACTCAAGTCCGCGCATGCTTGTAAACTTAAGGGTTTCCAAAGCCGCCCCCGACCTACCAATATCCTGACTGCGCTGCCTTTTAGGTAAGGCAGTAAGTTTCGGCCCAATTATCATTTTAACTTACGAAAGACAACTACGTACTTTCACCTAATCCCGACGCTTCCCGAATGTGAAAGGCCGAGGCCTTCGGCACACGCTCTCTTATAGAACTGATGACGCTATTCCGGGGGAAGCGCCGCGAGGGGCGGAGCCTATGCTGTTTCACTCCCCGCCCCGCCTAGCCCCGCCGCGGCTCCACCTGTTCCGTCTACCACCCCCTTCGCGGCTCCTTTCCCCCCTCCCCCGCACATGGTCCACGTCTGAGCGGGTCACCTGGCTCCGGATCCAGACGCATGCGCACATACGAGAGCCAAAAGGTTCTCGCATAGCGAAAGATCCTGACGCTTACCGGTGTAGGTCACGAAAGCGAGGGGGATTTTTTTGGTATTTCCTGTTTAGGATACTTATTTTAGACAATATTAGAAAAAGGGGCCGAACGCGGTGGCTCACGTCTGTGATCCCAGCACTTTGGGAGGCCGAGGCGGGCGGATCACTTGAGGTTAGGAGTTGGAGACCAGCCTGGCTAACATGGCGAAACCCCGTTTCTACTAAAAATACAAAAATTAGCCTGGTGTGGTGGTGAACGCCTGTAGTCCCGGCTACTCGGGAGGTTGAGGTGGGAGAATCTCTTGAGCCCGAGAGGCGGAAGTTATGGTGAGCTGAGATCGCTGGTTAGCATTTTACAAATTACCTAATCACTACTCAAAAACAAGAAAAGTCTGAGAAACTATTATGCCAGAGAAAATGATGCATAATGATTAAATGTAATGTGGTATCCTGGCTGGGATCTCCAGCAGAAAAAGGACATTAATGGAAAACTAGCGAATCTGAACAAAGTGTGGAATTTAGGTAATAGTGCCAATACCGATTTCTTTATTGTGACAGATATACCATGGTATTGTAAGATATTAATGGTAGGGGAAATTGGATGAAGGGGGTGTGGGGACTCCATTTTTGCAAATTTTCTGTAAATGTAAAACAAAGTTTAACTTAAAAAAGCAATTATAACCTTACAGTCTATTATACTTTCATTTTAAGACAAAGTAGTGATTTAGTAGTGGTTTCTATCTACTTTAGTGTGAAATTTGTGGCTGAGATGACAGTATTTCTAAGTTTGACTTGAGATCAAACCCAATGAATTTAGCTGCATTCAAACCAAGGCTTTGAGCCTTTGGATATTCAGGAGAGACAATGTGGTAACAAATAAAAGAATTAAAAATTGGTTGGTAAATGAAGATTGGCTTAAGGATTTTATTTTATGTATTTATTTATTTAGAAACATTCTTGCTCTGTTGCCTAGCCTGGAGTGCAGTGGCATGATCTTGGCTCAGTGCAACCTCCACCTCCTAGGCTCAAGCGAGCCTCCTGCTAGGCGTGTGCCACCACTTGGCTACTTTTTTTTTAAGGTTTTTTTTTTTTGAAAGACAAGCCCTCACTATATTGCCCTCAGGCTGATCTCCTGTGCTCCTGGGCTCAAGTAATCCTCTTTCCTCGGCCTCCCAAAGTGCTAGGATTGCAGGTGCAAGCCACTGCGCCCAGCCTAAGGATTTTAAAGATAGAATGCAAGGTGAACCTGTTAGAACTGATCAAATGATGGCTAGGTAACATTTCAGTTCTGCTTTTGATACATGGAGTGAACAGTTCATTATAGAATATTTATTCTTCAACAATGCTTTTCCCTGCACTATATCTTTTTTCCTTTTGTGGTTTAGTGTTGAAACTGGTAGTCATCAGAAAAATTTAACATAGAATGGCACATCTGTCATATGAATGCTGAGATGAATAGGAGAAAATATAGTGAGGAAATAACCTGTGGACTTATTTCTATCTTAAAACACTTAGCAAATCTAAACTTCCAGTGTATACTAGCAGCGTGATACTTCTGCTGTAAAAATTGGTTTTGCTGCAGTAATAAAAGTATAGTGTATTGCAGTATGATCTAGTGTTAAAAAAAAAGCATAGTGTCCAAAAGAGAGGAGATGGACGTTCCCTCCTATCTATATTAAAATATTCTTGTCAGTTCTGAACATCTTGTTCAGTTGTTAAACATTTACTAGACTCCAGCAAATGTTTATTGAGCAGACATGGCCTTTGCCTCAAGACTTGAGAATATAATTGAGTAACTTACAGTTAGTGCCATTACAATGTTTTCCAAATCATTCAAAGTTCAAAGCAAAGAAATTAGTTCTTATTTTTCCCTATCCTTTATTTTCAGTATTTGATATATTTTTGTATCAACCAATGTATTAGTTATCGATTGCTGTATATCAAATTAGCCTAAAGCCTAGTAGCTTAAAAAAAAATAAGCACTTACTATCTCAAATAGTTTTTGTTGGTCAGGAATCTAAGAGCAGCTTAACTGGCTCAGTGTATCTTGTGAGGTTGCAGTCAGGATGTTGACTGGCATTGCAGCCATCTGAAGGCTTGACTGGGGCTGGTGCGGCAGGATTCTCTTTCAAGGTGGCTCATTCACAGACCTGACAAGTTAATGCTCATTGTTGGCAGGAAGCCTCAATTCCTCAGCATGTGAATCTCTCCATAGGGCTGCTTGACTGTCCTCATGATTCTCGTGGCAGCTGGCTTTCCTCAGAGTGAGTGACTCAAGAGAGGAAGCTCCAACACTTTTTATTGTGGCCTACACACCATCACTTGTTAGAAGTTAGTTATTAATGCCAGCTCACATTCAAGGGGAGGGAAATTAGCCCGTCTTGAGGGGAGTATAAAATTTTGTTGACAAATTCTAAAAGTGTCACAGTCAGGATGGATGAAGTTGTGTTGCAGTTACAGAAGATCCAAAATCTCTGTGGCTTAAAACAACAGAGATTTGTTTCTTGTCATGCTTATGTTCATGTTAGAGACCAGGCTAATGAGGCCTTCACCATTTGTAATGGTTCTAGGCAACATAAAGGGAGAAGGGAAAATAGTCATTATGTTCTTAAAGGATTCCATTCTGATGTGACATATGTTACTTTGACTCATATTTATGGACTAAAGCAAGTTCCATGGCCACACCTAACTCCAAAAGCCTGGGGAAATGGAATCCTACTGTGTGCTTAGAAGGAAGATAATCGGAAGTATTTCAATATATTATTATAGCACTAATGATTTCTACAGTGGCCAAGTTACAACTGTTTACATTATTTTTATAGTTACCTTTTCTCTATTGTTACATTGTGTATTAGTCTGATCTCACATTGCTATAATGAACTACCTGAGACTGGGTAATCTGTAAAGAAAAGTTTAATTGTCTCATGGTTCCACAGTCTGTACAGGAAGCATGGCTGGGGAGGCCTCAGGAAACATTCAGTCATGGCGGAAGGGGAAGCAGGCACATCCTACATGGGCAGAGAAGGAGGAAGAGAGAGCAGAGGGAGGTGCAACACACTTTTAAATAACCAGATCTCGTGAAAACTCACTATCACAAGAACACCAAGGGCAAATCAATGATCCAATCACCTCCCACCAGGCCTCTCCTCCAACACTGGGGATTACAGTTCGACACTGGGCAGGGACACGAATCCAAATCCAAACCATATCACACTGCTAATCTAAGATAATATGTCTGAGCTGTCTCCCTACATTTCTAATTCTCTCTTCCAATCAACTAAGTATATTAATGAAAGATTAAATTTCTGGAAATATTTTCTACATGTTAAGCACTTGTTATAGAAAGTGTAATGACTTTCCTACTGATTATCAGGTAAAATTCCTCATCCCAGGCCAACATACAATGTATGTTACACTTAGCATGCTCATTCCTATTTTTGTTCATGCTATTTCATAGAATAGAATATTCTACCCATTCTTCCTACCCATCCTTTAAGATGCATCTCAGTTCTTATTATTTTTTATAGTAATCTTTCTTTTAGAACATTAGAAAATATTGGTCTCATCTCATTTTTGCCATCCTTAATACTTATTCTTTGTACTGTACATTAAAAAAAATTCTCATGACTAAATAGTGAGTTTCTACTATATCCCAGGTCCTGTCATAGATGCTGTGGCTAGAAAGAGTAAACAAAATAGAATTTAAAAAAATTTCATGGAGCTTACATTTTAGTGGCAGAAAACAGATGCAAATAAGAGTATTAGAGTTCTATCAGAATCAGAACTACTAGGAAATACATATGATTAAAATCATATATGTAGAATCTGACCTTACACAATTGTGCAGTGGAGGGACCAAGGAAAATTGGCATCTACAAGAATGAGCTGTAATCCATGAGAATGAACTAGAATCAGGACCAATCTCTTCCTGGTTTCAAGGGTTTAGCTTTGATGATGGAGGTGATCTGCAAGAGAAGCTGATGCCCTTTGTCACAGACTTAGGGATTGTTGAAGTTGAAACAGAAGATCTGGGATGACTGAAGAAGCTATAGATCTGGCTACTGCCCCACACTTACAAGACAATTAGTAGATAAGTGATAACTTGCATGATCTGCAACATTGCCTGATGCCCCACACTGACCTTCCAAGTGTAAAAAGTGTATGCTGCTTTACTTTGATTTGCCAGGTCTCATACAAAATGTCTCCTGTGGTCTTTCTGAACGTGGAATTATTCAGGGAAGGGAAGGGAAATGTAGGACTAGCTTAGCTAAACTAAAGTAGAAGCCAATCACAATATGTAAATTATATGGTATGTTAACGTCAATGAGTGCTGTGGAGAAAAACAGCACAGAAGATGAGAAGTGTTTGGAAGGTAGGAATTACAATTTTAAAAAGGTGTTCAGGGGAAATGTCATTCAGAAAGTGACACAAGGTCAACAATTTGAAGAACATGAGGGAGCAAAACATGCAGACATTTGGAAGAGGAATATTCGAAGCAACCAATGCTTTCTCATTGGGGCCATACTTGATACAGTAGGCAAAGTTCCCAGTGACCTCACCTCATGTTATTCCTTCCTTTATGTAATCTCTTGAATGGCAAAGTGGTGAAATGTGAGACCAGGTATTAAAACCTGACTTGTGTTTTGCTACCACTTCCTCTTGTGTCTTTCTGTATTGCTTGCTTTGATCTAGCAAGCTGCTATGTTGGAGAGGCCCATGTGGCAAGGAACAGAGTTGCCTCTGGCCAACATCCCACAAGGAACTGAGGCTATCAGACCAGTAGTCCATGAGGAATTGAATTCTGTCAACAACCATATGAATGAGCTTGGAAGTGGATCCCTACCCAGTTGAGCCCTGAGATGACTATAGCCCCAGCTGTTGATGGCAGCCTGGGAGGGACACTGTAGCAGAGGATCCAGCTAAGCCACACGTGGATTCTTGACCTACAGAAAGTGTGTGAGATAATAAATTCTGTTGTAAGCTACTACATTTTGGGATAATTTGTTATGAAAGAATAGATAACTCAGCTTGGCATGTTCGAAGAATAAAATTTGGACCAGTTTGGCTGGAATGAGGTAAGCAAGTAGGAAGTGAAGTTAGAAAGGTAATGATAGGCTACCTATGGCCTTATAGGTCATTATACAGTTTTTAGTTTTTTTGGAATAAGTTGGATAGCCTTTGGAGAGTTTTGAGTAGAATGACATGATCTAACTTAGGATTTACATGTTCTCTCTCAAAGCTCTGTTTAGAAAAATTCTAGGGTAGCGATGGAGATAATGGTAGAGCAGGGAAAACAGTTAGGGTAGTGCAATAATAAGATGAGCTATTGGTGTTGGGTTAGTGGTAGCAGTGAAAGAAATAAATGATTCAATTCTGGAAATATTTTTATTGTAGAGCTGACAGTATTTGCTGACAGATTGGATATAGTAAAGTATATAAGATAAAGGGATTCTAGGCTATGAGAAAAATGACTAAGGTTTTTGGTGATTTGCTGAGATGGAGACTGCAGGAAGAGCAGGTTTTCGGGGAGAAGTATTTAGGAGCACAGTTTTGTATGTTATGTTTGAGATGCTTTTTAGGCATCCAAGTGGAAGTGTTGAGTAGAGAGTTCAATATATGAATATGGAGGTCTGGGGAGAGGTTTGGCCTGAAGAAAGAAATATGTGAATTGTCAAACTATGGATGGTATGTAAAGCCATGAGATCAGATAATTGTACCAAGGGAGGAAGGATAGATAAAAAGTAGGATAAGAAGCCAGGTGCAGTGGCTCACACCTCTAATCCCATCCCATCACTTTAGGAGGTTGAGAGAGAAGACTCTTTGGAACCTATGAATTTGAGACCAGCTTGGGCAAATGGTGAAACTCCGTCTCTACAAAAAATTTTTTTAAAAAATTAGCCAGGTGTGGTGGCACACACCTGTAGTCCCAGCTACTCGGGAGGCTGAGGCAGGAGGATCGCTTGAGCCCACGAATTCGGGGCTGCAGTGAGCTATGCTCATGTCACTGCACTCCAGCCTGAGCATGAAACCAAGACCCCATCTCTTAAAAAAAAAAAAAGAAAGAAAAAAAGAAAATAGGATAAGAAACTGAGCCTTGGAGCCTGTCAATATTAATCTACCAGGAAAAACAGTAGGAACCTGCAAAGGATGTTGAGAAGTAATTTAAGGAGAAAAGCCAGCAGAGTGTGATACCTTAAAAGTCAAAAAAGTTTTTCAAAAGAAAGTGGTCAATTGTTTATGATACAAGTAGGATGGAAGTTGAGAAATGACCATTGGAGTTAGCTATATGAGGGTCACTTGGGACCTTGTTGAGAGTAATTTCAGAGAGAACAGGAGAAGTATTGGAAATCATGGATTCGGAACAACTATTTTGAAGAGTTACACTGTAAAGAGGAAGAAAAATGCAGCAATATCTGGAAAGGGATGTGGGATCAAGAATGGGTCATTTTTAAAGGATAGGAGAACTTAAAGTATGTTTGTATTCTGATGGGAAAGATCCAGTAGAAATGGAAAAACTGATGATGCAGCAGATATGTGATGAACTGCTTAGGAAATGAGATGGGATCTAGTGCACAAAAGTAGGGGTTACCCTAAGATAATAGTTTAGGCAGTTCATCTATAGAAATAGGAGTACATGGGTACAGGTGCTTGTGGATGAGTGGGTGGTGTGAACTTTGAATGTTCTCATCTACTAATGTTTTTTTCCGGGGTAATAGGAAACCAGGCCATCAACCGAGAGTGAGGATCGGGGAGAGAGTGTTGGAAATTTGAGGAGAGAGGAAAAAATATAATTAGGAGATGGCATCAATAGACTTGGAAAAGTAGTGGGTTTCCCCGGTCACATTAGGAGCTCACTTGAGTTCTTGTAATGAATTCAAAGTCAAATCTCTAGCATGATTGTGTATTTTCTCTTCATCATGCTCAACTGCATAGGTGCTGGTATGGAGCTGACAGGGAGTTGGAGTTAACCAAGTTGCAGTTTGCCAAGAGAGTGAGCAAAGTGATAGAAGGGAAAAGGAATGCATGCAAGGGACTGGTTATATTGATTTACCATGACATTTAAGTTAGACAAGAAGAGATGCTAATACTTGAGAACAGTGAGGGACATTGATAATGTGGTTTAAGTTGGATCCATGAATTTTGAGGTGATGGTGATCCAAGAATTTTGGAGCTGGGATTTTAGAGTAAGTGTTTGACATTGTGAAACATTTATAATATAAATTTATTGAAAAGTTTGGCAAGCAACATTGTGAGCCTTTTATGGTTTAGCCTGAAAAATTGGATTGCCTATGTGTTCTATGATCTCAAACTGGCCTCCAGCACTTTAAGAGTGAACGCCTGACTTGGTTGTAGAAGCTTGCACGTCAGTGAGATTCTGCACTTATGTTTCATTAAATATTTAACATCTCAAAAGCTTGACTTTTTCTTTCTTTCGAAGATGGCTTGTGGTACTTGCTTTAGTCTATTTCCTAGTGAGGCTTTTTTTTTTTTTTTGGGCTTACTTGCCTTTATGCAAAATAAGAGTGTTATTTATTTTAACATTTAATATGGCATATTAAAAGAGAAGATCTTGTTTTGGAGTATTCATAAACTAACAATTTAAAAACATCTAATGCTTTCATCCCATATCAATTAAGATAATTTGAAAATTTAATGATCACTTGTTAAAATTCTCCTTTTTCTACACACAATATAGATTACAGATGTCTTAGGATGTCAAACATTTACTCTAGTACCCCAGCTCCAAATTACTTTGGCCCATTATCCATAAGCATTATAAATATCTGTATTAGTGGGAAGATAAGCTTACGTTTATGTAAAACTTGATGGAACGAAACAAAATCACATGAAACAACAGTTTTTATGTGGCCACTAGATGGCTCTGTTACACTATTATTTAGGTATATGTTTAAATCCCTTTGAATTTGTTACCTTATTATTTAGGTATGTGTTTAAAGCCCTTTGAATTAAATACATTTGTTCATTGTGCATGCATGTATTAATGTATATGTGGATAATAACATGAAAATGTCAGCATATCTAGTATCTCTAAAAGCCTATCCTCTGGACTCTAGTTTTATATGATGAATGTCTACAGTGAATATTGAAAACTTCAGGTTCTACCAGAAAGGAACAACTTTCTCCAGATGCATATTCTAAACATACCATTGGAATACACCAGACCTTTTTAATATGTGAACTTGATATACAGATTTTTAACATACTGAATTCATCAATTAGAGATTTAATTCATTTCCTACTGTCTGAAGTAGTTAATACACTGTTAATGTGTTGTATATCAAACTAGACAATGATTCTGTTGGAGAAATAAAATATTTCTGCCCAGTCTACTGGAGGGCAAGAATGTAGTCATATTCATCTTACCTGCAGTAGTACTTTGGAACATGCTCAATGAAACGTTTGTTGAATGAGGAAGCCAGGATGATAAAAGTGAAAAAGAATTCTGGGAAATTATACATAATGTACAGAAGGAAAAATGAATGCAGGGTAGTACATTTAAGCAAAACTGGCAAACTTTTTTGAATGTAGCTTAGTATATTACGGCAAAGTCGACTAACTCTTTTGGCCTCAGGCACATCTTACCTCTCTCTTTGCCAAAAAGTTTAAATTAAGTCTCCCCGCTGCAATAGGACTATATTTCAAATTTTATAATGGAAATCATTTCAGAGAGAAAAATTCTATGGCAAACTTTGAAACTAATTCCTATTAGTTAGTATTTATAACTGGAATAGGTCTTCACTGTCTCTACCAAAAAATACAAAAATTAGCCAGGCGTGGTGGCAGGTGCCTGTAATCCCAGCTACTCAGGAGGCTGAGTCACGAGAATCACTTGAACCTGGGAGGTGGAGGTTGCAGTGAGCCGAGATTGTGCCACTGCACTGCAGCCTGGGTGACAGAGTGAGACTGCATCTCCAAAAAAATAGAAAATCAAAAACGTAAAATAAAAGACTTCAGATGCTATATAAGAATAAATCCAATTTAAGTTAAATGATGAGAGCACATAGACACATAGAGAAGAACAGTACACACTGGGCCTACCTGAGGGCGGAGGGTGGGAGGAGAGAGAGGATCAGGAAAAATTACTATTGGGTAGTAGGCTTAGTACCTGGGTGATGAAATAATCTGTACAACAAACTCCCATGAAACACATTTACCTTTGTAACAAACCTGCACATCTTGCACATATACCCCTGAATTTAACATAAAAGTTTTTTTAAAAAAACATGCTATGGCTGATACATGCTATAGATGAAACTCAGAACCATGTCACTAAGTGAAAAGAGGCCAGACACAAAAGACTACATACTGTATGAATCTATTGATATGAAATGTTCAAAAAAGGCAAATTTACAGTGACAGAAAACAGATCAATGGTTGACTGGGGCTGGGTTGGGGGCAGGGCTTATCTTCAAATGGGCATGAGGAACCCCGTCTATCAGCCTTCTATCTGGGTGTCAGAGATCTTCTGACATCAGATCGCCATGATGGCTATTCAATTCCATTAATGACTCAGCAGTTATGAGATGTACACTTCACCTGGGTGAGTTTTACAGTAGCTAATCATACACCCTCAAAAGGTCTATTTAAAAAGTCATAAATGAATAGATTAATTTCCACCTTCCTGGACAGTGCTCAACCAGCCTTTCCATATTCACTCTTTAAAGTTCACTCTGTCACCGTGTATTCTACCTGTAACCTGTTTCTGGATTCTGCATGCTAACATTGCGTTGAGAATTGTGCCTCTTTATTCAGGAATATGATTGGTCTATAGATTTGTTTTCTGCCATCTTTGTAAAATTTCAAACAAAAAGTTTAAAATAAATGTCATACTTACACTATAGAGAGAAAAATAAATATATTTCATCTCCAAATGAACAATCATTAAAAAAACCTTCAACTGAATATGTAAGACGTGTTAGTAGTTATTTCTTAATTATATAAGTAAAACTATAGAAAACTAAGTAGAATAGAACCAGATAAGTGACTTTTGTATTTCTCTAATTTAAAACCCTTTTATCAGGATGATAATTTATGTAAATGGGCAGTATTTCTTAGAAAACAGAAGGTCTAGAAAGAAATCTCTGCAATTGAGGACTTAAATTTGATAAAAGCCATACGAATTTTGAAATACCCACCATTCTTTATAGCACTGAACAGAACTTACTGAAAAGGACTAAGAAAGTAAATTATATAAAATAACACAAAAGGGTTCTGAAAATAATTATTTACAGTATCTTTTTTTTTTTTTTGAGAGTCTTGTTCTGACGCTCAGGCTGGAGTGCAGTGGCAGATTTCGGCTTACTGCAACCTCCGTCTCCAGAGTTCAAGTGATTCTCCTGCCCCAGCCTCCCAAGTAGCTGGGATTACAGGCGTACGCCACCACGCCTGGCTAATTTTTGTACTTTTAGTAGAGACGGGATTTCGCCATGTTGGATAGGCTGGTCTCCAACTCCTGACTTCAGGTGATCTGCTCACCTCAGCCTTCCAAAGTGCTGGGATTACAGGTGTGAGCCACTGCACCTGACTACAATTATTTACAGTCTCTAAGGGAGATAGTAGTAATGGTGATAACTAATGTTTATTGAGTACTTATGTGCTCATTAACTCATTTAATCCTAACAATTGTATGAGCGCTATACAATTATTGTCTCTAATTTACAGATGAATAGATTGAGGCACAGAGAAATAATGTAATTAACCTAAGGTTTGAAGTGGATTTGAATGTAGTCTCACTGGCTCAGAGCCCATGCTCTTAACTGGTGTTGTGTGTAAAGGGAGAAAAATGATACTAGGTATAAAATAAGTCTGAGCTTTGCTACTTGTGTGACCTTGGGAAAATTATCTATCCATTCCAAACCTGTTTCCTCATCTGTAGAAGGAAACCAGCAGTATCTTCCTTTTGGTATTATTGTTAGGATAACTTATAAGAATTATCTGGTAATTATCATTTAAAAGTTAGAGGTTTTGTTTTTTTGTCCTACATTTAATAATTATTTTGCTAATTTTAATTATTATTTAAAATTGAATTTATTTTTTGTTATTTAGAAGACAGTTTTAAGTCTTTGTATGATTGGGGAAATATATATTTTTGTTAATCGAATTTATTGATTTTTATGAAAAGTTATACTTTTTTCTAGCACTTAAATATAAGAACATATGTATGTTAAAACTGTCATGTCTTTTCCAGTTACTTATTGTGAAATTAATTCAACAAGTATTTATTGAGCACTTATTATTTCAGAGACTAGACCCATCGATGTGGGGATATATTGATGAAAGAAAAGACAAATAGTTTGCTTTCGAGAAGCTTATTCAAGTAGGAGAAGACAAAAGATCTAATAAAATTGGTAAACTACAGAATTAGTTATAAGATTTTAAGTGCTATGGTTCAAAAAAGATTAGTTCGGAGTAATAGGAATCAGGAGTCAGGGAAGGGAGGAAGGGGTGAAATTTTATGTAAGGTTGTCAGGGTAGGCCTTATTGAGAAAATGACATCTGAGCAAAGACTGAACTACAGTGTAGAAGTTAGCCACGTTGATATTTGTGGGCATGTTAACATGAATGTCTTAAATAAGATAGTCAGCAAGGGAGCCAGTGCAACTGTTGCAGAATGAGAGTTTGAAAAGAGGAGCTGCGGTTAGAAAGGTGATGAATACCACATCATGTAAGGCCTTGCAGGCCACTATAAGGACCGTAGCATAAAAAGTAGAGCTATTGCAGGAATTAAAGTGCTTTGATTTAATTTGTAAAAGGATTATGTCCGGACTTGGTGGGTTCTTGGTCTCACTGACTTCAAGAACAAAGCCACGGACCCTCCCGGTGGGTGTTACAGTTCTTAAAGGCAGCGTGTGCAGAGTTTGTTCCTTCTGATGTTCGGATGTGTTCGGAGTTTCTTCCTGGTCTCGCAGCTTGTTTTTTCCTTCTGGTGGGTTCGTGGTCTTGCTGGTTTCAGGAGTGAAGCTGCAGACCTTCATGGTGAGAGTTACAGCTCATAAACACAGTGTGGACTCAAAGAGTGAGCAGCAGTAAGAGTAACTGCAAAGAGCAAAAGAACAAAGCTTCCACAGCGTGGAAGAAGACCCAAACAAGCAGGCTGCCACTGCTGGCTAGGGCAGTCTGCTTTTATTCCCTTATCTGGCCCCACTCACATCCTGCTGATCGGTCCATTTTACAGAGAGCTGATTGGTCCGTTTTGACAGGGTGCTGACTGGTGCGTTTACAATCCTTGAGCTAGACACAAAAGTTCTCCAAGTCCCTACTAGATTAGCTAGACACAGAGCACTGATTGGTGCATTTACAAACCTTGAGCTAGACACAGGGTGCTGATTGGTGTGTTTACAAACCTTGAGCTAGACACAGGGTGCTGATTGGTGTGTTTACAAACCTTGAGCTAGACACAGGGCGCTGATTGGTGTATTTACAATCCCTTAGCTAGACAGAAAGGTTCTCCAAGTCCCCACTAGACTCAGGAGTCCAGCTGACTTCACCCAGTGGATCCTGTACCTGGACCGCAGGTGGAGCTGCCCGCCAGTCCCGCGTAGTGCGCCCGTACTCCTCAGCCCTTGGGCGGTCGATGGGACTGGGCGCGGTGGAGCAGGGGGCGGCGCTCGTTGGGGAGGCTCCCGCCGCGCAGGAGCCCAGGTGGGGGGAGGCGCAGGCATGGGTGGCTGCAGGTCCCGAGCCCTGCCCCGCGGAGAGGCAGGTAAGGCCAAGCAAGAAATCGAGCGCAGCGCTGGTGGGCCGGCACTGCTGGGGGACCCGGCGCACCCTCCGCAGCTGCTGGCCCAGGTGCTAAGCCCCTCAATGCCCGGGGCCGGCGGGGCCGGCTGGCTGGCCAAGCCGCTCCGAGTGCGGTGCCCGCGGAGCCCACGCCCACCCGGAACTCGCGCTGGCGCGCAAGCGCCGCGCGCAGGCCAGGTTCCCGCCCGCGCCTCTCCCTCCACATCTCCCGGCAAGCTGAGGGAGCCGGCTCCGGCCTCAGCCAGCCCGGAAAGGGGCTTCCACAGTGCAGCGGCAGGCTGAAAGGCTCCTCAGCGCGGCCAGAATGGGCGCCGAGGCTGAGGAGGCGCCGAAAGCGAGTGAGGGCTGTGAGGGCTGCCAGCGTGCTGTCACCTCTCAGGATTACCCTGGATGTTGGGTTAATAGCGGATTGTAGTACAGATACCTGGAAGTAGGGAGGATAACCAGGATAAAGATTATGGCATCTTTTTTTTTTTTTTGAGACACAGTTTTGCTCTGTCGCCATGTTGGAGTGCAGTGGCGCGATCTTGACTCACTGCAACTTCCGCCTCCTGGGTTCAAGTGAGTCCCCTGCCTCAGCCTCCTGAGTAGCTGGGACTACAGGTGTGTGTCACCACACCCGGCTAATTTTTTATTTTGAATTTTAGTAGAGATGGGCTTTCACCATGTTGGCCAGGATGGTCTCAATCTCCTGACGTTGTGATCCACTCGCCTTGGCCTCCCAAAGAGCTGGGATTACAGGCGTGAGCCACCGCGCCCAGCTGATTATGGCATCTTAGAATGAGGTGGCAGCCCTGGATTTGGTGAGAAGTGGTTGGTTTTGGATAGAAGTGAAGATTGAGCCAACAGGATTTCTTGACAGATCAAATGTGGGGTTTGCTAACCAAGGGATTCACTATCCTATAGTATTCACAGTTCTTGCCTACACTCAAGGAGATAGGATCATATAAAGGCATCATCACTCTTAGAGTGTGTCTACCACAAGAATGGAATAGGTTTTTTGGAGGAAGATGGTAATCCACAGATGAACCTCACCTGCAGACTCAACCCTGACTACATCACTGTGTGTACACTGGATCATCTTAACTGAGGCAGAGCCTATCACTAACCTCAAACCCTAGCTGAGTGCCCTTTTTCCCTGAGTATCCATTGTTGCTAATTGGACCTGAAATGTAATGCTTATGTAGTGCGTAAAAATTCCATAATTCACAACCTGTCCAAAATAGAGCTTTCTTTAGTTTTTAATAATTGTCCCCATTCAAGATATGATTTTTAAATATCTTTTAGGAAAACCCAGTCAAAGTCAAGATTGTTCTCTCCATTTCTTCCAAAGGTGGTCATGGCAGTGGACATGAAGTGGTAGGGTAACATCTGTTCTCAGCCATCATCTCTCCTCTGCTGGCATTGGATGAACCTCAACAGGTTCAGTCTTTGTAAAGTGATCTCTAGATTCCACGGTCTAGGCTCCTTTCATGGCCCGTAGTCATCAATCTGTGCAGGTTATTCAATGCCGTCTTTGTCCCAGCTGCCAGGTCCCTTTGGATTTAAAAGGCTTTTCTTGGTGATTCCTGCAGCTTATCTGGAGAAATGGAACTTTTATGTGTTCTCCTGTGCCACTGTGGAGCTTGTGCAAACCTGTGTATTTATACCTAGGATACCATGAGCTATCTCTACTGCTTGGAGGGAGGGCCTTCACCATTGGTGGGCAGAGTACACGGAGGAGGTTGCTGCTTTGCAGAGTTTTAAATGGAAAGTAGGGCACAGCTTTCTCTACTGTTTGATCCTCAGACTTAAAGATCTCTCATCCTCCATTTTTAGGGCTCAGCTTGGTGTCAAGGAGGAAGGCAGGGGGAGAAGAAACCCAAACTTGAATTTACCTCTCTTTTCCTTTTTGCAGTATTCCTTCATCTCTAGCCAGGCAACTCCATTCTGGGAGTAGAGTGGGAAGGTGGTGGAGAGGAGGTGTAGTCTGGCTTCCCACTTATTTTCTTTCTAGCCTATTGTTGATGGTGTAAATCTTGGCTTTAGGTACTTAAGTTACTTCCAACTCCCGTGCCAATGGCTCTCATACTTTTTAGTCTGGGGATCCTTTTACATTCTTAAACATTGTTGAGAACCCCAAAGGGCTTTTGTTTATAAAACAAAAGCATTATATTTATCAATATTATAGATAAATTTATCAATATTATAGATAACTCTATATAGATAATATAGAGTTATAGTTTTTAATATTTAATTTATTAGAAATTAAAATGGAGAAATCAAAAAACATTAAAAAATAACAAGAACAAACCCATAATAAAGCTATAGTTTTAAAGAAAAAATAGCTATGTTTCCCAAAACAAAAGAAAATGAGAAGAATGGCATTGTGTTACATTTTGGTAAATTTCTTTAATGTTTGGCTTAATAGAGATTGGATTCTCCTATCTATTTCTGCATTCAATTTATTTTGATAGGTTGTTTTGTTGAAGTATATGAAGAAAATCTGGCCTCATACCCTTATGTGTATGGGAAAGGAAAGTATATATTTATATACCCATATGTGGGAAAAGAAAGTATATATTTATAGCCTTTTCAGATAATTGTGGATATTTTTCTTTGATACTACATTCAAAATTGACAAGTGCTATTGTCTTAAAGGATATTTTTGCAATGTGGAATCTGAAATAAATCAATGAACTGTTCATACTGTGCTACATTAAAATCTACTGGTTTATCTTACTCTGAGAATAGACCTTTCACTATTATAACGATTATGCTATGTATATGTATACTGTATACTATGTATATGTGTTTTGTGACCTCATGCATTGCTTTTTTGGAAAATGGTTTACTGAGTTATGCTGATCTTTCAAACATTGACACCTTTCATTATATAATGTTAGAAAATTACGTTTTTTAATATCACCACCAATCTCATCAGAAAGATCTTTAAATATGAGTATGCTGTGAAGCTCATGGTAGCAATACAAGTTGTACAAAATTCTAATTTTTACTTGAAAGCTGAAATTTTATAATTGGCAAGAAATACTGTCAATTGTTTTTTGTTGAAGTGAGAGGCTCACTTCGTTCAGTTTTAAGAAAACATTTGCCAATTGCTCAAGTCTGAATAACCATAATTCTCTGTCATTCTTTCAAGTAAAAAGGATGTTCCATGAATAAAGTGGCTAGTTCCACTTGCAACTCAAACAGCTGCTCAAGGGCTTTTTTTTCAAGACAACCACCTACTTCAGTATGTAGCAGACATGCTTCAGGCACACTTCACATTTTGTCACACGGAAGATTAAAAAGCATATACTGTAGTGTGGAAATGTAATAATATCAATAATTTTACTGCTTTGTCAAATCATAAGTGACACTGTTTTAAAAAATGAGTGTGTGATGATGATGAATACAATAGTACAGATTAATTCTACTGGCTTGATTTATGCTAAAGCACGAGCAGTTTTACCCATTATTGTTATTGCACCATTAGTATCAATATCAACACAATGACGAAGGCATATAATGAATTCACATTATTATAAAAATCGTTTTGACCTTGCAGACCCCCTGAAGAGGACTGAGGTCTGCTCAAGATCCACAGGATATATTTTGAAACTCTTGTACTGTAGTGCTGACACTACACTATAGCAGAGGTCCTGTTTATTAGTTAATCTCTTGGATAATATCCAGTATCTGATGCTGCTTAGATTTCTTGCTTCTGTGGTCCTCCTTCTGGACACAGTTTGTCCTGAATATTTACAGTCTTGATCTTTAAAATGACAAATTATTGTTGTTATACAAGTACAGCAATTAATGCATTTGGAAATAAAAATTTAAATACTTTTCCCAGGTCCAGCACTCTAGTCCCAGTTATCAAAGGCAACTTGCTTTTACCATTTGTTTAAGCTCTGCTGATTATCTTCATAATTCCAATTACGCTTTTACCTTTGTTAATTTTTCAACTTTAAGCAGTATCTGTTGGCTCCCCACATGAGGGGGAGACATTTAGCTCATTTATATTACTGTTTCTCACATTCTTGCTTATCTTCCTAATTTTTGAGCATGTATTTATGTTTTTATTTTTGTTTTTAGCTCTTCTTTTGGTTTTGTTTGTGGCTTTAAATAAACGTCAGTGTCTGCTAAACTTAACACAGGCCAAGAGGACCAGGGTGGCTCATCTTTGCAGGTAGATCCCAAAGAGAAGTGAGGGAGATAGGTTGAGCTATTCAAGCGGAATTTCTGCTTCCAGTTTTACCACTTAGATAATTCATTGGTTCCTCCTCTATGGGAGAGTAGATCAGAGACAGAATCACATGTTACAATAATTGATCTACTGGAACATGTTAAACAAAGCAGGGAGAAAAGCATTCCCCCTCCTTACCAATCATCACATGTGACTTCCATTGACAGATGTGTAAATTGAGATCAGAAAAGTCACCTACCCAATGTTACTTAGTAAAGAACAAATGTTCAATTATAGTCCAATCTATCTTTTTTGCTATTCTGATTGCACTGAGGACATCCCTGTAATTAACTGGGAATGAAAACAGTATGGTTTTCTCAGGATGATCACAAGTGGGAGGGAGAATTTATCAATATTATATTTTCATAGCTTTTTATTGTTTTTAAAATTATAATCTTTAAATTATTAAAAATTTGTCAATTTATTCATTTATATGTGAAGCAAGCTTTATTTTTGATAGTATATTTGTTTTGTGGGCTTTTAAAAGTTTTGTTTGCTTTGAAGGATTTACAGTAAGTTCTGAAATGATACACTAAAGCACTAGGAGTATATAGCATGTTGAGCTTGCATTTCTGTTTAATGTTGAAATTGAAAAAAATTTAGATTCAGAATATTATTTATCAAATAGAGAAGGCTCATTTTCTTTGGTCCAACTTTATAAATTATGTATAATATTTAAGAGCAAGGTCTGGTTTCCATTTCAGTTATTGATTTGAAATAGAGCATTTTGGCATCAGAAATGTAGACAGCAGGCATTTCCTACACTTAATGTATTCCCTCAAAACCAAGAAGCAGCTTAATGTAGACAGTTTTGTAAGATTTGTCACAGATTCTGGGTGCTTTCGAACTATCTCACATTTTATTCAGTGTAATTCACTTTTCTGTATGGTAAAATGTGGGCAAATACATTCTTTCTAACAATATCTTGGAGACCTTATGCTGTGAGCATTTAATTTGTAAAATGTGGTTTGACTTCCTTGAAAGGGATTGCTAAGTAAATGTGATGATTAATTTTATGTGTCAACTTTGACTGGGTCACAGGGTACCTAGATAGTTGGTGAAACATTATTTCTGGGTGTGGCTATGATGGTGTTTCTGGATAAGATTAGCATTTCAATTGGTAGACTGAGTTAAGCAGATTACCCTCCCCAGTGTTGTTGGGCATCATGCGATCCATTAAGGGCATGAATAGAATGAGAAGGTGGAAGAAGGTCCAGTTAACTGCCTGGCCGCTTGAGCTGAACATTGAACTTCTTCTGTCCTCAGTGCTCCTGGTTTTTAGGCCTTCAAACCCAGACTGCAACATTATTGGCTCTCTGGCTCTTAAGCTTTTGAACTACACCTCTGGCTTTCCTGGGTCTCCAACTTGCAGATGACAGATCATGGGCCTTTGCATCCTCTAAAATCATTTAAGCCAATACCTTATAATGAGTCTTTATATACTTATGTATGTGTGTGTGTATATATATATATATATATGCTTATATGTGTGTATATATGTGCTTATATATATATATATATATGTATATGTATCTGCCCCTAGTTCTATTTCTCTGGAGAGCTCTGACTATAGTATAGTAAAAGAGATACTTGACTTGACTCTGGCAAGTGAATGTCTTTTTTAACTTACTGATACTATTCATGATTCCTCTTTCTCTAAGAGATGCTCCAGAGGAAATGGTGAGCATATAACTAATTCCAACTTTAGTGATTTATTAATTTTTGTATTTATAACTTTTGGAAATAGACTGAGAAGTGATAGATACTTAAAGATGAGGATAGTTACAGGATTAATGGAAGGAGGTTCAACTTATTTATTAGTTTCAGTACTAACAGATAAATGAATAAATTTTACGCTGTAACATTTATTAAGGGCACTGAGTATATAGAGAACTTTTATAGATAACAAATTAGGGACAATAAATGGCAAGAACTGGTAGCAGCACTGGTTTGGGGACAAGTGGCCCTCAAATTTTGTTAGGTATCCTTGGCCATAGGTGAAAGGCTTACTCAAAGTAGATTGCAGATTTTTGGGGGGATGGAATCTAAGTGAAACTGTGTGTCTTAGAGTTCTCCAAAAAAGCCGAATTAATAAGGCTGAGAAGTCTCATAATCTGCTGTGCAAGTTGGAGACTGGGTGGTTAACGGTGTAATCCAATCTGAGACTGAAAGCCTGAGGAACAGGGAAGCCAATGCTGTAAATCACAGTCTGAAGGCAGAAGATGAGATGAGATGTCCCAGCTCAATCAGTGAGCTGTGTGTGTGGGAGGCAAGCCTGTGGGGTATTCAGCTGGTGCCCCGAGATAGGGTGGGTTGCAACATGTGAAAAGCTGATGTCTAGAAAAGAAAGGGATTGGAAGAGAGAAAAGAAAATGTGTGGAGAATGAAGATAAATGGCTAAATTTAAACTCCCCGAATCCCCCCTCCCTCCTTTTTTTGCAGAGATTGTTTTGCCAGATTTTTAGAAAAGAGAGATGAACACCTTTTAAACTCTGAGGAAAGAAATGGGCTCATTGGTATGGAGCAGAACAGAATACTAGGGGTAAGAAATGCTATAATCATTCCTGTTCTGAAGTCCATTTAGTAACAGCTGTGTGATTCTCTTATTCTCTTATTCTAGGGTCCCATAAATGACCTAGAAACTGCATTATATTTATTAGAACTAAAAAAAAATTCACTACAAGTAACATATAAATTTAGGAGGAGAAGGATCTGTGAAAGGTTTTATAAATATAGGATAGATATATATCCTACTTGAAAATTTTCTATCTCTTCATTTTGAATTATGTTAGTAGTATCTATGTTCCGTAACCACCTCCCACTCACTCCCAGGCCAAAACAATAAAATACCTACTGTTACCTAAAATCACCAGGTCCAAACTCTTCATTTTCCTATCAGTTTATTGTTGTACATATGAGGTACCATGCTACTATCAGAATTATATCTAGGTTTTTTATTTTAAAAAACTCAGAGAAAAAAATGTTTCCAGTAATTTTCATTCAATGTGAATGACAAGAATATTACAGCTATAAACATTGAAATAACCATTTCATTTCTTCCTGAGGAAGTTTCATATTTTAAACAATGAAAAAGGGAATTCTATACAAAGCTAGTTTTAAATCAGATTATCTCTCATTATTCTCTCATATGTATTTATGTTACTTTCAGATTAGCATATTAACCAGTTGGAGTATATAATGTGGAAAGTATGCATGTCCTCTAGAATTTGATGCTGTCTTCAAGACACATTGAGTGGTCAAAAATCCTTTCACAGGTTTGCTGCTCTAGCTAGCGTAATACATGTACTTGTGAATGAATAAATTTTGGTAAGATCTCTTCCTTTTTCTCCTGTCTTTATACAAACACGGAGTATGTTTTTGACATCTATTTAAAAGGATGAAGTGTTCAGTCAACTCGATTTACCTAAACAAAATAGGCCATTAGCAGCTTTGCTTAGCAGTTCAAATGTACATCTTACCATTAAAGCATAAATGTATCAGTTTTTCTTTTCTTTTTTTATTAGAATAAATGTTGTTGCCAAATGAAAACATGACACTGTATATAACTGCTGAGGCCTATTCTCATGTTTAACCTTCCTAAGCCAGTTTTCTTAAGTTGGTGGAGATGGAAGACTATAGTAATTTTCCTAGCATGTCTGGCATCTGCTGCTATAAAAGAGACAGCAGTAAGCATGAAGACTGTGTTTCCCATATTTGTCCAAATCACTTTGATTTTGCTTTTAGAGTCAAGAGTCTTAAAAATTGGTGATTTTTCCAATTTTTTCTGCTAATAGTATATTTAAAAATTAGCATATGCTTTAGGTACATGAAACTTTAAAAAAGTAATTATAATGTACAGTTAAAAATTTATAGTAAGTGGATCTCACAATTCATTTTCTAATTAGTAATTGATAGTTTTACCCATTAAAATGACAATGAAAATATTTTTACTATGGGTTTTCCTCCCATTTGTTTCTAATCATACCTTTGATAATATTTTATAAAGGCTTATAATCATAGCAGGGAATTAATTTACTACTTAAATTTTATGTATATGTACAGTACATTTAAAAATTAAGTAGTCAGGGCATGGTGGCTCACGCTTGTAATCTCAGCACTTTGAGAGGCCAAGGTGGGTGGATCATGAGGTCAGGAGTTCAAGATCAGCCTAGTCAACATGGTGAAACCCTGTCACTACTAAAAATACAAAAATTACCCGGGCGTGGTGGTGCATGGCTGTAATCCCAGCTCCTCAGGAGGCTGAGGCAGGAGAATCACTTGAACCCAGGAGGCGGAGGTTGCAGTGAGCTGAGATCACACCATTGCACTCCAGCCTGGGTGACATAGTGAGACTCTGTCCCCCTCTCAAAAAAAAAAATTAAGTAAATATTAACAGGAAAATAAGTATGATGTATTCTTTTCTTTTTTGGAAACTTTATTAACCATATATATTATTTACAATTGAAATGTAAATATATTTCAAGAGCATGACTTGCTCATCTTTGTACTTCCTGCATTTAATTTAGTAGCTAATCCTTAATTGTACCTATGATCTGTTACTTCCACCAGAGTGATGGGTGAAATATTTTCAAAAATGGGCCTCTGCTCTGCTTATGTTTCTTTGCCTTATATCAAAAGTATCATTGCAAACATTAGATTACAAATAATATATTAATTTGTTTTTTGTTATAAATCTCTACTACATTACATAATTTTATTTTGAACTATCTGGGAAAATGCAATTTTTTAATAACCTAAATGTAAATAGCCTAACCACATCATCTAGGGAAACTGTTTTTAGTTTTAGTTTAATAGGTTTTGTTTTGGGGAGCATTAAAAATAGCTATTCACATTTAAAAGTCAACCTGTTTCTGGAGATGACACATACCTCAGACTCTAGGCATGCATTTCTGTAGAACTAGTGAGGACTACTGGGATAGATTCACAGCTTACAGCAAGTGGACATAGAATTCTCGATGATATGTTTTTAGACCCCTACAATTTCTCCCTTTTAGAGGATTCAGTCAGTACACTTTACATTGTTATTTACTGTTTTGGTGTACTTGATGTGTTTCTATTTACCATCCAACAGCTTTACAGTATATATTTCAGTATAACAATTACGTTGTGATGGAAGAGTTAGTAATTTTTACATATATTCACTAGACTATGTATATGAAAAAATCACTTTTGCTATAGCACTTATTTTTTTTTGGTGCAGATAACACTCATATATAACTTTTCCACTCTGATCTAGCACAAATTATAATTTACAATTATTTCTAAATACTTAAGTGGATTTAAATTTTGGCAAGCATTTTTCATGGGTGTTATGCTTTTGACATTTTATGCTACATTGTGATGTTTATTTTGCTTCTTGTTTCATAGGACACTTTATAGAATAAAATAATAAGAAAACATCGTACAGGCAAACAGTGGTCTAAAAACCTACAGAGACACAATCTTAGTTGATATATAAAAGTGTAAATATTACTATGAAATGGAACAGTTCTGCATTTGTGTTTGATATTTATGTTGGTTGCAATTGACTTCCACATGAGTGCACAGTAGTCTACAATAATCCCACAGGCTCAGATATGGGTTAAGAGAAAGGCCACAGGCCTCAAGGCTTGTAACACATACTTTTTCTTTTTTTCTAATCATCCACGTGCCAGCACATGGAAGAAACTGTTCTTTTTTCTCATTTGAAGAGGTATATTTTTCAACTGCCTTTTGGTAGCTTCTGGAAGCTTTGGAAAAGGTGTGTTCTACATGGACGATGAAGTCTCAAGTTTTCTCTCAGTGCTATCTTACTTTCTGCAGCTCCTGTCTCAGCCAGGATGGCAGAGGCTGACCCAGTTTGTGCAGCAGCTTTGAGAGTTCCACGTTGTGATCTCGATAGTAGCTTGACAGAAATGTCCTGCTCTAAGTGGAGAGGAGGAGAGAAAAGTACATTTTATTTTGTTTATTACATTTCATACACTTTGACTACGTTGAAATAAGTACCAAGTATACCAGATCTGGATTAAAATTTGTATTAAGCATATGGACTATTTATTTAGCACATGCTATGATATTTTACTGACAGTCTTGGGTACTGGCATTTTTCTTACTAGGAAGAGGCAAAAGGTGTGGTGACAGTACTGCCCACTCTAATCCCTCCTACACATTTGTATTTTCATTACCTCTGTGAAGACCTCTTTACTCTTACCTGCTTTGTGGACATTATTTTCACAAAATCAGCCACTCCCTTAAATAAACCCAATATGGATTACTCAGTAACCTTGTTGAGAAGGAAGGATATCCTGAAAAGTTGTGTTTTTCTTATCTTTCTCTACCTCCAAATTTAATAAGGTCTGTGTTAGACCAGAGTAAAACAAAATGCTAAGAAAGATATTCTGCAGTGTCTCTTAAACATTTTAGCTTTAATAAATTTACGGGGAAATAGCTTTGACATAAATGCATATGATATATTTTATATTACTTTCTTGAAATACTATAGAAATTGTATGTCAATTTCTTTTGGGAAAAGAAGGGTTGTTTTCAAAGTGCTCTGAAGGTATATTTTAATCAGCCACAGAAAATTGGAGTTCTGAAAATGCAGTTTGTTTATCAAAATAACAGAAACTCTCTCTCTCTTCCGTATATGATTTAATTATGAGTTTATTGAGGACAGACCCTGCATCTATCAGGCAAGGCACAAAAAGTAGTCCTCAAGGTTTTGTTAAAGTATTCTAATAAGTTTAGCCCACCTTAGGATCCTCAGACCATCTTAGGGTTCTCAGTTAATGTAATGTATTAATTGTGGGGGAAAAATCCCAAATCATATTTTAATTTCTGAGATCTAAAAAAAATTTACAAATCAAAATCTACTTGCATGGTTATATTGAAACTACTAACTAGACTAATAATAAATAAAAATATTATTAGTAAATCTTAATATATGTCAAGTAAGCATTAAAGTAAAAATGTGGGGTATAGAAATGGAGAAAACTGTAGCATTAAGTGATCACCATGTCTCCATTCTGAACAGAATAAACAGGAAGTGCTGAATACATACTGCAAAGTGTGTGTCTACATTCCCCAAAGCCTAAATTATCTGCTAGTATGTTAGATGTTGGGAAATACATTGCTTCTTTCATTTTATTAGCATATTAACAGCTCAAAACTTAGTATATTATATCAGTAACTTACATTACTGCCCAGGGCACACTTACTACAACAGAATGACTCAGGCAGTCAAAAAAATAGGATTTTTTTTTTTTTTTTTTTGAGTTGGAGTTTCACTCTTGCTGCCCAGGCTGGAGCGCAATGGTGCAATCTGGGCTCACTGTGACCTCCACCTCCCAGGTTCAAGCGATCCTCCTGCCTCAGCCTCCTGAGTAGTTGGGATTACAGGTGCCTGCCACCATGCCCAGCTAATCTTTTTTTGTATTTTTAGTAGAGATGGGGTTTTATCATGTTGGCCAGGCTGGTCTCGAACTCCTGACCTCAAGTGATCCACCCACGTCGGCCTTCCAAAGTGCTGAGATTACAGGCATGAGCCGCCACACTCGGCCAAAAATAGAAATCTTGGTCCTATTTTCACTTTCCAATGGATATACTTCCTGTCTTGGTTTCAGTTAACATTTATACTAAAATTTTTGTGCAGGTATCATTCTTTTTGGAATAAGATATTATCTCTTTGTTCTTATTCAGAATGTTGAATTCTATTGTTTTCCTTTATTCTTGCATGACAGGTAATAATATATTGTGGGTAAATCAAAATAAGCAACCTACCTGTACTGAAATTGAAATGGCACTTTTAATTTTTAGAAAGGCTGAATTTTGACTTTAACTAGTTTTTTAAGAAAGTAGATGATATTATTGGTTACCATTTTGCTGATTTAGTTTGTATTTTTAAGGTCTATGCTTACATCAGAATCCATTGGAGGGTATTTTCTTCCTTTGCTCTTTCCAAGGCATTTTGTTTTACCTTCTTCCAGTAACTGACACCAGAAACCTTTATGAGAATCAAACCTAAAAAAAAAAAGAATACACACAGAAAAACCAGAAAATCATTTTTCAACCAATTTATATGATATGGTGACCAATACATATGATATAGTGACCAATACATAAATATTTTATTTGGATAACAATCTATAACCAGAGAAACTGAATTCTTTTTTACTATATTCCTTTGCATAAAGTCTTTTGGCATACTTCTAAATTCTGAGTTCATCTGTCATATTTGTGAGTTTGCCAGGTTCCTAACAGAAAAATTGTCAGCACATCTCCTATTAATAGAAATTAATAAGGCTACTTCCTTCATCTGGAAGGAAAAAATGCATAAATATTCAAATTTTTTTTTGGGTTTAAAAACAAGTCATTCTTTTTCTTTGTAGGGTTTAAAAACAAGTCAGCCTTCTTCCATGTCTATGGATTTAGATGCTACTTGTATCATACAACTAGAAGGTAATAGAAGAGAAAAGGTTTCAGTGTATCATGGAGTGATTACTTTTAGGATTCTCTAGCTATAATCCATTTAATTTTTTTCAGAGCTACTTTCTTCTTTTGGTATGAGCTCTGTATTAAAGTAATAGCACCTACAAATGAATTTTTTTCTTTTTTCTTTCTCTTTTTTGAGAAGGAGTCTTGGTCTTGTTGCCCAGGCTGGAGTGCAATGGCGCAATCTCGGCTCGCCGCAACCTCCACCTCTCGGGTTCAAGTGATTCTCCTCCCTCAGCTTCCCGAGTAGCTAGAATTACAGGCATGTGCCATCATGCGCAGCTAATTTTTGTATTTTTAGTAGAGACGGAGTTTCTCCATGTTGGTCAGGCTGGTCTCAAACTCCTGACCTCAGGTGATCCGCCTGTCTCAGCCTCCCAAAGTGCTGGGATTACAGGCGTGAGCCACTGTGCCCAGCCTAAATGAACTTTTTATGCCATAATTATAATAAATAATAATAGCACATTAAAATACACATTTTATCTTACCAAAATATTTCATATAACTCTTTCTCATTTGAGGTTTCATTCTGACACTTAAGGATATGCTGTGAAGGATTCTTCCCATTTTATAGCATTTAGCATACTGTTTGGCTCTTGTAAACATTTGCCAAGTATTAGTTGAACACAAAATGAGAAGGGAGAAAATGTTTGTCAAGGTTTATTTACCTTGTACTATACACTTCTTCAATATTCAAGTCATGACTCAAGTCTAGGCCTGCTGATTTTCGGTTTAGGGCCTTTTCTTTTTTACTGGTCTCCAAGTAGGTTTTATATTATTATTCACTGTAAATAAAGCACTAATTTGTATGCTCAGATATAAAAGTGAATGTAATAGCAATGATAATTCCTTTACATAGCTTTTGTTATTCAATAATTATATTGCCATTTTTCTTCTCAATTAGAATTATTTCAGATAACGTTTTTCTTTTGCCTTTAATCTGTTCTACTTCTAGGAATGCTACTTCCAACACTTTGCTTAAAATTATAATGTGAAAACCTGAAATATCTAGGGTGACAGTTTACAAAAAATATGTGCAATGGCTGCACACTTAAAACTACAAAACTTTGTTAAGTTTTAGAAAAAAAGGGAGCTATACCATGCTCATAAATCAGAAGACTAGATACTTTTAAAATACCAAGTCTCTCCAAATTTGTCTATAGATTCAGTATGATTCCTATCAAAACTCCAGTGGACTATATTTTAAGTAGAAACAGAAAATTATTCTAAAGTACATATAAAAATGTAAAGGAAGTAGACAAGCTAAAACAATTTGAAAACAAAGAGCAAATTTGGAGATCTCATACTATTTAATTTCAAGATTTACTCTAATTCTACAGTAATGAAGATTGTATGGTGTTGGCATCAGTGGACCAATGGATCAATGGAACAAAATGAAGAGTTCAGAAATAAATCTACACATCTACAGTCAACTGATTTTCAAAAAATGGCTGCCAAGGTAAGTCAGTGGGAAAGGATTAGTCCTTTAAATTTCACAAGAAAAATTGGATATCTATATGAAAAAGCTGAACATTGACCCTTACCTCATGTTGTATGTAAAAATTAACTTGAAATGTATTATTGAGCTAAACCTAAACTATAAAAATTTAAGCTGAAAACTTAAAAATTTATAGCTAAAATTATAAGGCCGAGGCAGGCGGATCACGAGGTCAGGAGATCAAGACCATCCTGGCTAACACAGTGAAACCCCATCTCTACTAAAAATACAAAAAATTAGCCGGGCGTGGTGGCAGGCGCCTGTAGTCCCAGCTACTTGGGAGGCTGAGGCAGGAGAATGGCGTGAACCCGGGAGGCGGAGCTTGCAGTGAGCCGAGATTGTGCCACTGCACTCCAGCCTGGGTGACAGAGCAAGACTCCGTCTCAAAAAAAAAAAAAATAAAATAAAAATAATAAATAAATAAATAAATAAATAAATAAAAAATTTATAGCTAAAATTATAAAAATTCTGAAAGAAAACATAGGGAAAAAAACCAGAAAATTTTGCAACCTTGGGTTAGGCAAAGATTTCTTAGGATGAACCATAAGGGAAAAATAATGATAATTTTGAATTTATCAAAATTTAAAATTTTGCTCTCATAAAGACACAAGAAAATGAAAAGGGAAACCACAGACTGGGAGAAAACATTTGTAAAAAATATATCTAATATAGAACTTGTATTTGGAATATATAACTCACTATAAAAGATAAAAATATCAATAAAAACTGCATAAAAGATTGGAACAGGCTGGGTGCAATGGCTGACGCCTATAATCTCAGCACTTTGGGAGGCTGAGGTGGGCGGATCAGCTGAGGTCGGGAGTTCAAGACCAGCCTGACCAACATGGAGAAACCCTGTCTCTACTAAAGATACAAAATTAGCCGGGCATGGTGCTGCATGCCTGTAATCCCAGCTACTCAGGAGGCTGAGGCAGGAGAATCACTTGAACCTGGGGGGCAGAGGTTGCGGTGAGCCGAGTTTGTGCCATTGCACTCCAGCCTGGGCAACAAGAGCAAAACTCCATCTCAAAAAAAAAAAAAAGATTGGAACAGACACTTCACCAAAGAACACATATGAATGGTCAATGAACAAATGAAAATTTGCTGAACATCATTCATCATTAAGGAAATACAAATTAAAATTACAAATGAAATAGCACTGTACACTCAGTAGAATGACTGATTTTAAAAATATCCCATGTTGGCAAAGACATGGAACAAATAGAATTGTTGGTAGAAATTAAAAATATTACAGCCTCTTTGTAAAGTTTCTTAGAAATTAAAATACATAACTACTATATGACCCACCAACCCCATTTCTAGGTTTTTACTCGAATGCAATGCAAATGTATGTCCACACAACTGTTCACAGTAGCTTTGTTCGTGATAGCCAAAAAATACAAATTACTCATGTCCATCAACTGGTGAAAGGATAAACAAATTGTGGTACATCCATAAAATGGAGTAATATATAACAATAAAAAAGAATTGACTCCTGATAGATGTAGCAACATAGAGGAAACTCAGAATCATTATGCTAAGTGAAAGAAAGTAGCTTGATGATTCCTAGGGGTCAAGGTGAGTAGAAAGTGTTGACTACAGCGGAGCATGATTAAATTTTTTGGATTATACCTTTTTGTTCTATATCTTGATTCTGGTGGTACGTACAACTGTATATATTTGTATTCATTGAACTGCACAATTACAATGGGTGATTATATGTAAATTATACATTAACAAAGCACTTAAAATGATAGTGTGATCTAATGTGTGTGTGTGTGTGTGTGTGTGTGTGTGTATGTGGGGCTGTAGTCTATATGTAGTTAATCTTGTAGAATTTATAACTCTAGCCCTATGAAAAGAATACAAACCTAGATTTCTGCCTCTGTATGACTTTGTGTATTAGAGAGAATAATCACTTTCCATTTACGTAAAGCCTGTTTCTCATCATTATTAAAGCAATTGTGTCAGATCAGGACACAACATTTTATGTTTTCATGCTGTTTATGGTCTTGTTTGAATCGGTAAGG
This sequence comes from Homo sapiens, assembly GCF_000001405.40. Taxonomy (NCBI): domain Eukaryota; kingdom Metazoa; phylum Chordata; class Mammalia; order Primates; family Hominidae; genus Homo; species Homo sapiens. Next base: position 118,249,499 of record NC_000004.12, on the reverse strand, counting down.
CAACTGAATAAATTAGTGCTATATTCAGAATTACAAAGAGATCATTAATAAAGACTGTATTATTTAAATAATCTGTACATGAAAGCCTTTGGGAAACTTTAATACAACATTTCTGGAAGTCTGTGATTGATGTAATATTTTTCATTAACATTTTGCTATCAGCAATTTTCCAAAATTGAATTCTGACTCATTTTAAGTATTCAAGTGATCAAAATTCAGAATCCAGAGCAGCTATTACTTTTTGCTAATATACCTTGCTGTAGATAACGTAACTGGAACATACATATGCTGTGTATTAAAATGAGTAGTCTTCTGAGAGAAAGTTTTTCTAAGAAGCACTGAACTCCACACATGCTAAAATTAAGAATCAAAAGAAAAATAGGTTTTTCTTTTATGTCGGCTAATTAATTAGATCTTATGCAGCAGGTGTCATGCTGGGCTTCACTGAGAAAAACTGTGTGTGTAGCTGGCACCTAGCCTAGGCATCTGTGTGCATACCCTCATAGGCAATGGTATAAGTGTGTCAGGATGAAAATGAGAAGGAGAAGCTAGAAGGGAAAGCATGTTTATTTACCCAATGGCCTGAGGGACTGGGTCTGGTCCTTCATGGAGAACCATCATAGATGAAGGGACTGCTGTTCATTGAAGGTCTTATGAGTTTGGGACACAAGTAATACTATTTCAGAGCCCAAATGAAGAAGTGTAATAGAAGATGGAGAAAATCTCCCCACATCTATTCAGAAAGCAGCAGTGTTTCTCTGAAGTCTGGTGGAACAGCAAGGAAACTATCTTTTTATGTAAGCACTGGCAACCATTGTCATGGCTGGGGCCCTCCTTTCAAGGCCTTCAGGCAGTGAACATTTTGGAGGAAGTGTTCATATATTGTTTAGTGTCCGCTTCTAGGGCTACCCTAACCTGGAGGTGGGGATACTTTGTTCATCATTGTGTCTCCAGAGTCATGCACATAATTATTCAATAACATTTTGTTGATTTAAAGAGTAAAACAAGAATGGGTAAGAATGGTTCTAAAGCTTGTGTGGAATATCATCTGGGATATTTAGAAATAACTGTAAAAGACTTGTGGGCAGGGGCACCAAGATTCTCCAATGATTCAACCTCTAAACAGTGACTTTTTTTTTTCTTTTTTTTGAGATGGAGTTTTGCTCTTTCGCCCAGGCTGGAGTGAAGTGGTGTGATCTTGGCTCACTGCAACCTCAACCTGCTGGATTCAAGCAATTCTCCTGCCTCAGCCTCCCGAGTTGCTGGGGTTACAGGTGTGCGCCACCACGCCTGGCTAATTTTTGTATTTTTAGTAGAGATGGGGTTCCACCATATTGGTTAGGCTGGTCTCGAACTCCTGACCTCAGGTGATCCACCCGCCTCGGCCTCTTAAAGTGTTAGGATTACAGGCGTGAGCCACAGTGCCTGGCTGACATTTTTATATTAATGAAAACATGACTTTATTTCTACCCTCGTGCGGGTTAATCGTACAAAACATTCAGATTACACTTAGAAGACTAAAGTATGTCTGAAATGCCTTTACATCGAAAAACCATTTCTATGGGTGAATACTGAATTGAAAATAGCAATTCAGTAAATTTCAAAATCAAAATACCATCATTTAGATATTACTAATATAGGATAGGCATTGCAGTTTTTTAAAATCAGTTCTCTTTTGGCAAACACGTTTATGATTTAAGGAATCATTTTACTGATATGCATTTTATTTTAACAACTTTTTTAAGGTATTATTTACATATTGTTAAATATACAATTCAGCACTATTTAGCAAGTTTATATAGTTGTACAATTATCACCACAATCCAGTTTTAGAACATTTCCACTATCCTTCCAAAACCCATATTTTTGCAGCCCATTGCAGTCAATCCCTGCTGTCATCCCTAGTTCCAGATAAAGTCTTTCTTTCTTTCTTTCTTTCTTTTTTTTTAGACAGAGTTTCACTCTTGTCGCCCAGGCTGGATTGCAGTGGCGCGATCTTGGCTCACTGCAACCTCCACCTCCTGGGTTCAAGCAATTCTCCTGCCTCAGCCTCTGGAGTAGCTGGGATTAAAAGCCTGCGCCACCACGCCCAGCTAATTTTTGTATTTTTAGTAGAACTGGGGTTTCACCACGTTGGCCAAGCTGGTCTCGAACTCCTGACCTCGGGTGATCTGCCTGCCTCGGCCTCCCAAAGTGCTGGGATTACAGCAATGAGTCACCATGCCCGGCCCAGATAAACCTTTTCTAACTCTACATTTGTCTCTTTTCTGGACATTCCTTTTTTTTTTTTTTTAAACCCCCCTGGTGTGTGGATATAACAAAGCCATGCACCAGTTGAAGAACATTTGTATTGTTTCTAGTTTTTAGCTATTATGAATAATGCTATCATTCCCTTACTAGCTTTTATGGACTTAGGTTTTCATTTATTCTGGGGTAGATTCCTAGAAGTGAAATTGGATTGTTGAGTGAGATTCTGTTTAGTTTTTAAGAAACTGCAAAACTGCTTTCCAAAGTGGCCATATATTATGCATTATCATTAGCAGTATATGAGGATTCTAGTTTCTCCACATATTTGCCAACATTTGTGATATGGTTTGGCTCTGTGTCCGCACCAAATCTCACCTTGGATTTTAATAATCCCCACGTGTCAAGGGCGGGACCAGCTGGAGGTAATTGAATCATTGGGGCAGTTTCTCTTGTGATAGTAAGTTCTCATAAGATCTGATGGTTTTATAAGCATCTGGCATTTCCGCTGCTGGTATTCATTCTCTCTTCTGCCTCCTTGTGAAGAGTTGGTTTCTGCCATAACTGTAAGTTTCCTGAGGCCTTCCCAGCCATGTAAAACTGTGAGTCAATTAAACCTCTTTTCTTTTTCTTTCTTTCTCTCTTTTTTTTGATGGAGTTTCGCTCTTGTTCCCCAGGTTGGAGTGCAATGGCGCAATCTTGGCTCACTGCAACCTCCGCCTCTCAGGTTCAAGTGATTCTCCTGCCTCAGCCTCCCAAGTAGCTGGGACTACAGGTGCCTGCCACCATGCCCAACTAATTTTTTGAGTTTTTAGTAGAGACAAGTTTCTCCATGTTGGCCAGGCTGGTCTCGAACTCCTGACCTCAGGTGACCCATCTGCCACGGCCTTGCAAAGTGCTGGGATTACAGGTGTGAGACACCCCACCCAGCCTAAATCTTGCTTCTTTATAAATTACCCAGTCTGGGGCATTTCTTCATAGCAGCGTGAGAATGGACTAATACAGTAAATTGGTATTGTCTTTTGGATTATAGCCATTTTAGTGGGTATGTAGTGGTATTTCAATGTTATTTTAATTTGCATATCTTTATGATTACATATTTATGAAGAAAAGTGACATCCAGTGCACCTGGAAATGGATTTTATTCATAATAAAATCTGAAACAACTTCCATAGCTCATTTTAAGGCTCTAGTTCTTTTTAAGGAAGCACTTCCTGTTAATATGCTATTCACTATTAAAAATTCACAGTATTGTTTTTCTGTGGTTCTAACATCCTGTGCCAATATGAAGAGCTTAACAGGTTGGCAATGTAGGTTCCAGAGATAACTGATTGAGTTTCAATCCTGCCTCCTCAACTTACTTGCTGAGTGACCTTTGGCTTAACTTTCCTGTGCCCCAGTTTTTTTTAATCTGAAAAAATGGAGCTAATTGTACGTATCACATTGTGTTTTTATGAAGAGAGAGAGATATATAGGACATATAAATGTATATTTATTTTGAACTGTTACAACCACTTAAAAATTTATAATAAGAAATTAGAATAGACTATTTTTTTCTTTTCCCTACTCAGCATTTCTAGGTGTTCTTTCATGCCATCCAGAGAACCAGCAGATTTTAGTTACTGTGGCTACTATAATTTGCTAATAAGAAAGTTTTAGTGTAGTACATTTGTACTAAAATTTATCTACAGTGGGTAGGAAAACAATTCCCGGGCAATATAAATTTCGTTGCCAAGGAAGTTATATTAAAAGCTATTGAAGTCCTTCTGAATTTTGAAGCAGCTTCAGTCCTTCGTGACTTAGCTAACCTCTGTCCACAAAACAAACAAACAACTATACTCAACTCTCGGCTTTCAACTTCTCATTGCCCATTTATTGACATTTTCAAAGTAAATTAATACTAAAAATTCATATAACATAGTCTGGTTTCATTCATCTTGACAAATAGGTTAACTGACTGAGACATAAAGATGCCAGGTTCAGGTATTTAGCTAACTAGTATTTCTAAACATGAAGACATCTGTCATTGGCATTGATGGCTAGGTATTATTGTGAACAGATGTATTCATGGCAAAACTAAAAGTTCATATTTTTCATTTTAGTGTATACAAATTAGTACAATTCCATGCTAAGCATTGTTTTTCCTGTCTTATTTCAAATGATTGCTTCAAAACACTATATAACATGTAACACAAAAACTAAAGTAATGTTAATATATTAATCCCATTTAGGGATTAAGGGTATGTGGAACAAGAGTTGTAAATTATAATTTACTTGATTGAATGAGAAAGTTCTTATTTATATTTTTAAAGCTTATTTTGCTTATTTCATTCACACAATCACTGAGAAAATCAGATTATTTAACATTAAATATGTCATTTAACACCCATGATAACAGTAATAAGTCATTTTAAGACATCACAGATTCTTCAGTGACTTTGTATATCTTTAAAAGTCTTGAACGCTTTCTTTAGCACTTGTGGAAAAGAATAAACAACAATCTTGACATTGGGGGCTTATTGTGATTCTTCTTGAAAATAGTTTTGATGCTGAAATTTGCTATATGGAAGATAATAAGTTTAGAGATATCTTAAATTGGAGTACTCTTTCACACCAAGATTGCATAGCAAAACATTTGTATAGACCTTGCTTCATTCATTTATTCTACTACATGCAAAGCACTAGATTTATGTAGTTAGTTGAGAATTCATATTGGTTTACAGTTTACTATATCCTTAGAGGACTTCCAATGAGAAAAAAAAAATTTTAAGCACCAATGAGATAGTCGTCATTATCACCAGCAGGAAAATAAGAAGAAAAAATAAGAAGCAATACCAAAGTGTACAAAGTATACAAACTGGTATAAATGGCATTTCTGACGATATATATTTTGTACCTCTAGTCATCCTCAGTATTTCCAAAGCACTACAGAAACAGCTATCAGTATAGTTACTCTAATAGGAGTAACTAAATTGTGAAGACAGGTTTCAGATAAACAACTACAAAGGGCATAGGGTGAAGGATGATCAATTTAGACCCAAGACAATGACATGAAACTTCCAAATATTCTACAACTAGTGCACTGCCAGGTTTTACAAGGTATGTCAGGCCAATTGATGATTGACAAGAAAATATAAAAAGAAATGGAATGGAAACACAGTATCTCCACCTGCAGGGTGAGAGCCTGGGTGGCACTGCTGGAATAGAAACTGTGGTTTCAGGGACTACACATATCTTATCTTGCTATTTCACCCACTGAGCCCCCAACCAGGTTAGAGAATCATATAATCAGTAATTTTAGCTAGATACAGCTCAGGTGCAAACGGACTACGGTTCTTTGTATATAGTATGTTGCTTTGATATTCTCTTAAGTTTACACTGCCTTTTCTCAGCAGTGGAGATGAATAAAAAGCTTGCTGCTGAGCTGGCTGCAGAGGGGACAAATACACAGCATGCAGGTCAAGGACCATCCCATAAGAAAAAGCAACTCTGTCTTTATAGAATACTGTACTTCTTTTTTTCTGAAATACAATGCTTTGCTACATACTCTATAAAAAAGACCCACAGATAACCTAACTTGAAATAGAAAACTGTTTAGAAAATAAAAGCTTTCTTTTCCAAGAGATGCTTAAAAAGATACAGAACAGAAAATGGTCTTGAATTTTTAAGTGCAAACTGAAATCACTCAGCTTTCTTTAAGGTCAAGTTGAATGTTAAATACCTAAGGCCAGTGTCTGTGTTAGTACTTGAACTAAGCTATACAAAACTCTGACAGTACTCATAGTATAGAAAACACAGAGGTCAGAAGGTTAATAATAACAGCAAAGTATAAATGACTCTTAGGAAGGAAGCTCAAAACTGCAGAGTTCCACCTACTCCTTTGTCCTCTACAGCAAAATGCCTCCCTTACGTGTCTCTATATTTGATTTGTAGGAGATATAAGCAGTATTTGATGTTTTCCTGCTAATCTTTTTTTCCTGCAAAGTTTGTTGAAAGGTAAAGGAAACCTGCCTCTCACTTTCTAAATTGATATTAAAGAGTACAAAAAAAGGGAAAACTACTCGATCTGTGGAACTGAGTTTTATACTGAAAAACACAATGGAAAAATTCCATGATAGTCTTTTTCAGTTTTTTTTTAAGGCTCAGTCCATGTAATTAAAAAAAAACCAACTTACGGTGTGAGTCAGGTCCATGACCCAATCCAACTCAGTATCTTCCAGTTGCTCTACACATGTGGTAGGAACAAATATAATTCTCCTAAATCTGATTGCCAACTATTCTAAATGGACGCAGTAAGATAGAGGTCTTCTTCAAAAATGCTAAGTGAAGCCCAGAGTCAGCACTAGGGTGAGGTAAGAGAGGCACCTAGGACACAGCACTCAGTCTCAGGCATGGGCACACCTCCGAGAGTGACTGCCTTCTTCAGCCCTAGTTCCTTACTGGTCCCTGGTCATGGACCTTACAGAGTCAGTTACCTAAGAAAATCGGAGGAAACCAGCAAAAAACCATACAAACAAACAGAAAAATCAAACCAGTGCTTTAACTGCTGAGGACTCTGAAGCAGAGATGACAGGGTCAAATAGTGGATAAAGACAAAGATGAAAAAATAAAAAAGGACGTTTGTTTAGGAGCGATAATAGTACATCTCTCTCTGCTTATTCAATCACCTATGGACTATTTCTTGCTGTATGACATTGTTTCTGAAAATTACACAAATGAGAGAAGAGTCAGTTCCTAAACTACCTAGTTACTCACCTGTTCATACTTCCAAGAAGCCCCATATTGCCTGTTAAATAGGCTCAGGCTTTACGAATTTATTTCAGATAACTTCTTTTAAGGTTTGTGGTTTGTTTTAAGATTTACCACTGTTTTATTTCTCTACTTTCCTTTCAGGGAAATCTTTGTACAATTAGGAATTAACACAGGATTTAGGACATTTCTGTGTCACACTGTTGAAATGTTTTTTTTTTCCGTGGTTAATGTCAAATTGAAAAATAACCAGTATATAAGGAACAAGTAACCTGACAGTTGTATGACCAAACTGCAATTTCTTTGAAATCAATTCTCTGCTGAAATGTCAATAAACTAATTAGAATATAAACTTACGTTAAAGCTTCTGAGTAATTATAATGAGGCAAGACTCCTAGAAACTTCTGTACTTCATCCATCACTGTAGCAGGATCAGTTCTTAGTTGTTGCCCATCAATAATTAGCAACTAAATTATCAAATAAAAAAATGCACATTGAAAAAAGACATGTAAACTGTATAATGAAAAATTTCTGCATTCTAAACTCATTCAGTGAGAGACACTGTCCTGAGCAGAATTGCATGCATTGGTGTTAGATAGAATCCAGGTCATCCTCATTAATGACCTGGAATAAGAAATAAATCACACCAATTAAGTACACTCAGGTTTGCAGTCTGAGAAGTCACACTATGAAAACAAAAAAGGCAGTTGAAAGACCAAGAGAGCTTAGAAAAGTGACTAGAAAATCACAAATGGAAACCAACTTTCAAAACAGACAAAGCAGTGATCCTGTCATTCAAGCTGGAAAGTACAATAGAAAAGAAGAAAGGTTATAATAAACTCAGATGTAATCTGACAGAGAACATGTCATTCCTCACGATTCCTTTCAGGAATAGCACTGTCAGGTTTGAAGAAATATTTCGATAATCCATATGGAGAATAAGGTTAGATTCTCAGGAAACTTGAACATGGACAAAGTTCCTCAAGAAACTAAGAAGAAGTTGCTTGTTATGCCAAGGAGGGTGGACCCAGCAAGATGAGAGGAGACCAGGATTAAAGGCCACAAAGCCTGCAAAGCAGGTCTTGTCTATCCATACCTCTTCTCTGATATTTCTGTTTAGCCTAGACCAGCACTGTTCAATAGAACTTTCTGTGATGATGAACATGTTCTATAGCTGCTGGGTCTAACATTTAGCTATTGAACACTTAAAATGTGGCTAAAGGAACTGAACTTTTCATTTTATTTGATTTTAATATAAATTAAAATAGCCATATGTGGTAGTGGCTGTCATACTGGAAAGCATGGCTCTAGACTCACAGGTATATACCATGTCTGATGTGTCTGGATTGCTTACATGATCCCATGAGGGGCTGATTTTGCAATCTAGGTTGATGCCAGGCAGAAGAAATTCAAGGGGCTGAGAAAAACATAGGACTTATCAAAAATTCAGCAAGGTGGTTCAAAAAGGAAATAATGGCACTTAATTAAGCAAAACATTATTTGTCTTGTTTGGTTAAGAGGTTCTCTTTCAAACTTTATTCTCAGGATAAGAATCGTATCTAAAGCTTTCAAAGCTTTTTACAATCAGGAAAGGTACGCACAGCAAATAGAGCAGGGAGAATTATTCTGAAATACTCTTAGAAAATTAAAGTTTTTCTACTTCTGCCTATTTCTCTTTGCCATAGCCTCATTATTTACAACTAAAGAGGAAAAACTAGTAATAGTTTAACAATTGAAAATTTTCTTAACCTTAAGGCAAAGTCATCAACTTAATGAGATTCTAACATGATGTAAATCCTTATTACTCCATACCTGAAATGGGGGGAAATAAACAAGCCATCTCTCGATGTGGCTGGCATACCACCCCGGGACCAAACATCTCTTCTGCAAGGCTCTGAGCTCCGAGGGTGCACGGGGCCCTGCTGAGATCACTTCGTAGAAGCTAAACTTCAGAGCTGCAGGGTCTTCATGTGATCGCTGATGCTATGATGAAAAGGTGGATAATTAAACTAATCTGAACCGTAGGCATAAATAATTAAAAATCAATCTTTGTGACAAGTCTCAAAGCTAAAGAAAGAAGTGCCTCACTGCTGGAGAGTTATCTATTTTGAAATTAGTAAAGGAAGAAAATGTTTGCTTGGAGCATCAGGATTTAAAGTTATGATACTTATGGGAGTAAATTTTTGAGAATTTATCTGGTAGAAGTTGAATTCCTATCGATAGGATTCCTTCACCAGCATTACTGAGTTGTTTCCTTAGTGTATGTATTTTATTGTGAAAGTAAACTTTTGAAAGCTGTGTTAATGCCCTCTTTCCAGCTCATAAGCAAACCATTTATAGTGTCCAGTGAATATCTATAATAGAGAAGCACCCTACTACCTCTGCCAAATAGTTTTGCTCCATCTAGTAATGCAGTTTTAGATTAGAAAAGGCCTATCAGCTCTTTTAAATGAAGAAAGTACTAGAAAGTCTGACATGTACATTATCTGAAATCCACAGCTTTTATCATACATTCCCTGATATCTAAAAGCCAAGATTATTTTATCTAATGGTAACCTTTGCGGTGAATCAGAATCATTTATTGTGCAGAAAATGCAGAAAGCAGCAATCCAACAGGATTGCTCAGGCTTAGGCCCATGGGTTTGAGGAAATCACCTTTTCTTTAAATTGGCCAATAAATATTCAGGCTTAGTGGTGAGTTTGTGGATGTTTACCTCATCTAGTTGAATAGCAAATTTTCTGCAATTGAGATTCAAATCACTGGACTACAAACTCTACTAGACTTTGTTAAGGCCTGCATTTTGCCACTGTGATTTATTTGTAATATTTAGGACATTTTGTTAGCTTGCAGCCTTAAAGCCTTCTTTTTCTGTAAATTCTCTATTTTTCAGGGACTAAGTGGTTGCCAAGCTCCAATTTTCTTCTTTTTCTTGGAGTCAATTAAGGCTTATTTCTCTTTTCTCCAGATACTTGGTGGAAAAGGTAGAAGTTGCAAAATCAAATCAGGCAATTTGCAATTTGCTGTATGTTTTGATTTAAAAGATGGCTTCAGGTTTGGCGTGAATGATTAGTATAGAATGGTGGATTTTTATGGATCTTAGCTTTCCAGGATGTCTCCACTCGCTATTTTTCAGATTATTATCAAAATCCCTAAGATTTCATCTGCTTTTATGACCTTTCCCTACTATGTTCCTGCCACAAAACCTTTTCCAACAATCTGTTCTTCCTCTTGTGAACTTCAAAAACTGCTTTTGTTAAGTAGCAAAAGGACTCAGTAATGAGCAACTTTATTCTCTAATATTATGATTGTCAAGAACTTAGCTGTTTTAAATCAAATCAATAAGAATGGAACATCCCACTCTTGTAGGGAGGATCTAAGCTATGTGGGTCACTTTAACACAGGGAAGCAGTCATATATCCAGCCTATTTGCAGACTTCAGATTAGAGGTTTTTGTACATAGAACATTCCACGTTTGTCTTAACATTTTTGTTTCCAAGAAAATAGGACCCTCAGTCTGCTTTTCAGCACTGACCTGATGATAACTCCTTTACACAGCTCTGCTTTGCACCTATGAAAACACTTCTTCATTTTAATTTTGCCTAAATGTATCCCCTTACGTATCTTTCCCTTATTTAAGAAAGTGCCCCATGGTTCTGGTATTTGGGCTTCTCTGCGACAGCCTTTCCCAGGTGGTCTTTGTCAGGTGGGCTTTGTCATTCCGAAGGAGTCTGTATGTCAGTCGCTTATTACTTTCTAATTTATATGCTTGTTTATACATATTTCTCCAATTAGGCTGAAAGCAATTTCAAGTATAGCTTCAAATTTATTTTTCAAATCACACTTAGAACAAAACTTTGCACATGGTAGTCATTAAAATTACTTGATGAACGGATAAACACATGAACAGTAGGAAAGCATTTTTTAAGTTACAAAACTGAGAAATGAGAACTAAGGGTCCTAGAGACTAAAGACATTGACTCTATTAATTTTACTATGTTCTTATGTTAATTTTGACTGCTTCATATTAAACCCTTCCAACTGGTGGTTAAATTATCACCGAAACAAGTTTTAAAAGATTGTTTCCTATTTGCAATGATTTATTAAAAGTGTATTTGACATATATATTATTACTAGAGTTTGTTAAATTATTTCAAAGTGATCGTTTTTGTGCAAGGTTCTAACCAACATCAGAAAACAATGGCAATGAGTATACAAGAAACATTTAGACATGTTAGGCTCTCAGGGATGTAGAATTTTCTTTCTTTTTTTCTTCTTTCTTTTTCTTTCTTTCTTTCTTTCTTTCTTTCTTTCTTTCTTTCTTTCTTTCTTTCTTTCTTTCTTTCTTTCTTTTCTTTCTTTTCTCTCTCTCTCTCTCTCTCTCTCTTCTTTTGACAGAGTCTCCCTCTGCACAGTACATGCTGCAATCACAGCTCACTGCAGCCCCAACCTCCCAGGCTCAGGCAATCCTCCCACTTTAGCCTTCCAAGTAGCTGGGACCACATATGTGTGCCACCATGCCTGGCTAATTTTCTTTATTTGTAGAGACAGAGTCTCCCTATGTTGCCCAGGCTGGTCTTGAACTCCTGGGCTCAAACAGTCTTCCCACCTGAACTGGGCTCAAACAATCTTCCCACCTTCCAAAATGCTTGGATTACAGGCATGAGCCACCACGCCCAGCCTAAAGATTCTTATATATATTAGTTTTGCCACTAAGCTGTTTCTTTAGTACAAGTAGCTATTTAAGCTGTTTTAGAGCCAGGGTCAGCAATCTATGGCCTACTGCCTATTCAGTAAAGTTTTATTGGAACACAGGAATGCTTATGCATTTACATATTGTCTATGGCTGCTTTCGAAATACAATGGTAGAGTTGCAATGGAGACTGTATAAACCTCAATGTCTGAACTTGTTGCAATCTGACTCTTTATAGAGTACACAAGTATTAGATGAAAAAATAATGATTTTAAATTATTACCTTAAAATGCAGATATATAGAGGCATAGATATAAAAAAGTACATAATATTTTGTTATATTTTAATTTAGTTTCTTTTATTGCATTAATACATTTTATTAAATTAATTGATTAAGTTAATAAAATAAGAACAAAAACTTAGTGGAGGAAATTTCTCAATAGAAATCAAGAAAAACTTGTCCATTTTTCTGTAGATATCAAACAACTAGCAAATCTCTTTTGTGAAAACCTGAGCTAGTGGGTATTGCTAAAAACAATGCTCCATTGTCCATACTCCACTTCTCCCTGTTGGATTTTATTTGCATTTTCCTTACCTGGTACCAGGAGTATGCTCGGTCTGAAGGGTCAATGAGAATGGTGATAATCTTGGCTTTGGGAACCAGAGAAGCAGCTCTTTTAGGGGCTTCCTCTGAGTGGAAGTAATTGGCACTCTTCTCAAACAAAAAGTCGGTAGTGACATTAGATGGGACTGGGAAGAAATCCATATACCTAGAAAAGGAATATTTTTCTCAAAATAAGATTCTGGTTTATACTCATTCTGGTGACCAAAGATGTTAAAAGTGTCCCACAAATTCATGTGTTTCCTAAATAAAAGGCTTTTTCTTTACAGCATTTGTCCTCCATAGTTAGGAAGAGAAAAATATCTAGAACACTAATAATGTGTTTGGAAGATGTTTTTCTAAGTACATTTTCTTTATGTTTTGCTTAATATCAGGAAAAAATATAAGCAATAACAAAAATGTAGACACAGAGTGATCAAACTGCAACAGTGATCGACCTAACTATATCAAATGTGTCTCAATGTAGAAACACTGTACAGAGAAAAATTCAAGTACTCAAAAAGAAAATCGTATTAAAACAGACGATATGTTCAGTTCAGACATTTTAAAAGGATTTAGAGAAAATATTTTTTACTTTATTGCAAGTGAAATAATTTCTTTTCTACAAATGTATTGTGCCGGTGTTACGTTTAATCACATAGTGTGAAAGATGCAGAGTATATCTGGTATAAATATTGCTTATTTGCTTAATTTTTCTCATATAGAGCCACTTATGTTCCTCTTTAGAATAATTGTAAGAGAAGTTTAAAAACTATGTACATTCCAAATATAAAACTCTAACAAATTTCCCAAGGTCATGTTCTATATCCTCATGGGTAGAGAGAATTCAAATTACCAGCAGAATGAACACAGGGATATCTATAGGTTCAAGCACTGAAATGTAGAATTTTATTTAATGTTCCACCTGAATAAAAGTTGTCAAATGTAACTAATTCAGCATATGATAAGAAATATATCTGAAGCACTAAGGAACATCCTTTAGAGGAAAAGGGATTTTTTAGAGTGACTGTAAAAATATAGCTTCTAGGGATTCTCAGCCTCCATTGCCACCCCCTTCAATTCATAAGCCATTATCACACTGGGCTACCAAGACAAGGTAGTTCAATAATTACTGAATAAAAAAGTCATTAATATTCATGCAATGACCTGTTTTTTTTTACAGTGTCTTGTTTTCTTTTGACCAAAAGATCACATGAGATGTTCATAGATTTTTGACTGAGATCATATCCTCAAACATGATAAAGCTTCTGGTAGGATTCCAGTTGTTAACATATTGCAAAGCTTAGCTGGTGCAACACAGTGATATCTTGAGATTCAGAGCAGTAAAGAAATCCTTTTATGTTGTCTGGAATTGGCTTGTTGGTGATATGTAATTCTGGCACCCTTTTAGGGAGAAAGAGATATACAAAAATTTCTGGAAGGTTTGATGTGCTATTTGTTCTGGTGTACATTCTATTTACGGAGAGTGCCAACTTTCAGGATGCTTCTTATGTAGAAGCTCACACTGGTTCCAGGAGTGCTAAGATTATTTCAAGTGTCTAGTGGTATCTTATTTGGTCCAAGCTTGACTCAAACTTGCTTGTTCTGAAAAAGGCTTCAAAAATCACACAAAAGAGCAGAAATTTTAGCTTCTTAAACCTGCCATACCTTCCTAGAAGTCTTTTGTATCTGGAACAGTTTAGGCTTTGAAAACCTCCTCAAGCAAGTCTGGATCTTGGACCTATAATGTGTTGATTTTGCCAGGCCCCAGGGGCTCATGGAGAGGGCAGGGCACAGCTCTTGTTTGCCTATATGTCCGCATTTTTCTAGTGTAGTTGCTGGCACTTACAGGCATTTGAAAGATGTTCGATTAATAGAGAAGTAAATAAAAGGTTCATATTTTTAGTATGAGACCTTGAAGCTCCACAAATAGGCTCACATTTATAGAATGTAAATTCAGGTTATTCAAAGAATTAGTGAACAAACTGGAGTGTTTTAACAATTCAGGGTTAAAAGCAAATGCCTGCCTCCCTTAAGTTTTTCTACTTCTATAAAACATAAAACTTCAGCATTTTCTTTTACCTGAAAAATGGGATTTTTTTTGCAATACTCCACATTTATTTGTTATTTGGGTCAACCCTGAGTCAGTCCTTCCTTCCTTCCTTCCTTTTTTTTTCTTTTTTTTTTGATGGAGTCTCCTTCTGTCACCCAGGCTGGAGTACAATGGCACGATCTTGACTCATTGCAACCTCTGCCTCCCAGGTTCAAGTGATTCTCCTGCTTCATCCTCCTGAGTAGCTCGAATTACAGGCACCTGCCAACAAGCCCAGCTAATTTTTGTATTTTTAGTAGAGACGGGGTTTTGCCATGTTGGCCAGGCTGGTCTGGAACTCCTGAGCTCAGGTGATCTGCCCGCCTCAGCCTCCCAAAGTGCTGGGATTACAGGTGTGAGCCAGTGTGCCCAGCTGGACTTTTTGTTCCTATTAGAGTACCTAGCCACATGATGACCAAAATATATTTTTGTAAAATTTATGGTAAAAAATTAAGAATAACTGTTGCAATAATTTTTTACCATAAATTTTTCAAAAATATGTTCTTTGAAAAAACATCCTAGGGAATCCAATTATTGACAGGAATGTAATACTAATACATTCCTGTCCACCTCCAAAGCAGTTTTTATTCAGTCCTTTTAGTCCTGATGTTAATATCATTTTATTCTATAATTATATACTGGCATGTATATTTGAGTCAGTGATCAAATACAGCTGAAGTAGTCGATGGTTTCTTTCTTTTCTTTTTTTGAGAGAGGGTCTCACTCTGTCACTCAGGCTGGAGTGCAGTGGTGCAATCACAGCTCATTGCAGCCTCAACCTCCATGGGCTCAGGTTATCCTCCCATCTCAGCCTCCCAAATTAGCTGAGACCACAGGTGTACACCACCATGCCTGGCTAATTCTTGTATTTTTGTTAGAGATGGGGTCTTGCTATGTTGCCCAGGCTAGTCTCAAACTCCTGACTTCATGTGATCCACCCACTTTAGCCTCCCAAAATGCTGGGATTACACATGTGAGCCACTGTGCCTGGCCACTGTCGATGGTTTCTTGATTTTCCAGCTGTTATGTAACACCACACAATTAATCAATATCAAACCCTGAACTGAAAAATTGGCAGTGAAATATATAACAATTAGAATATATGTAAATCCTAGTAGGTGCTCAAATTATACTCAATCCATTTCTTTTCCTTTCCATTCGGACTTCTCATAAGCAGCTCCTCAGGGGGCTGATAATTATAAAATTGAGATCATGCAGTTTGACAAGAGATATATATGACTATGCTAAAATACATGCAAAATATATTTATGCTGCAGAATTATTATAATTCACTCCTTTATACCACCCTCTGTTCAGCATTATACCTTCATAGCAAGACCTTCAGAGACATTTTATGGTTAACATGTTAGTTTGTACCATCTATCTCTACTACATTACTGTATTTTGTGTATTCTGACATTTTTAGTTTTTAAGTGTTTGTTCAGATGGTTGATATATTTCTAATTTTGATTCAAAGGCAAGAATTAAATTCTGTGTATTGTTGATAGTTTTTTTTATAGCTTTGATTACTCATGTAATATACAAACATTTCTAGTTTTATTTATTTATTTTTCCTTTTATGTGACAAAGAAAATAGAAAATTACATATGTTGGCTGTAGCATCACTTCATAAAAAGTGCACAAGAAGAAAAATATATGAAAATTTTTTTTCCTTACGAGTAGAAAGGAATTAAATTTCTGAATATTATGCTATTCTTCTGACTTAATATCTATAATTACCATCAAAGAAAATTAATGCCAATTGAAATTACATGTGATCCTCTTGGTATAACAAGTCTCTTTATAAACTGAGAAGAGTTTGTTCTGAAAAATTTCTGAGCCCCTTTATGATATTCAATCAATTTCCAAGGCACAGAGGTTAAATTTTATTTGTGACTACAAACTTAGATGTTTCTAAATATTAGTGCTAAGTTTATACTGTGCACAGTACATATACTTTTAGATTTATACTAATAACCCATCTTACCAATCAATCCCCCTGTGGTAGTTATTTCTATTAAAGAACTGTACCTCCTCAAAGGTTTTTGGGCTGGGGGAGTTACTAAGGATGGAAGGATGCATAACCAGGAACAAATACAAAGCAGTGGTACCTAGAAAGACAATAGAGGTTCAGAAATTAATTAAATGAAAACACAATTTCCTATGATCAACACTTTAAAGTCATGAA
Organism: Homo sapiens; assembly: GCF_000001405.40. NCBI lineage: Eukaryota > Metazoa > Chordata > Mammalia > Primates > Hominidae > Homo > Homo sapiens. The sequence continues at coordinate 118,232,934 of NC_000004.12, read as the reverse complement.
TAAATATTAGAATGATCCAAACAGATTTATTACAACTACTGCTGGAAATAAATTGAATAGATAATCGGCAGTTTAATAGAAGCAGGTTCTAAAAAATGGAGATAGTGTGGTGTGAAAAGAGGCCTGTTGCAGGGATTGAGAGAACTGGCTTTCAATCTCAGCTCAATGACTGATTTGTCTGTGACTTTGTCTTTTAGCTTCTGTTTGTCTCAGTTTTCTTTTTATCTTTTCTTTCTTTCTTTGTTTCTTTCCTTTTCTTTTCTTTCTTTCCTTCTTTCTCTCTCTTTCTTTCTTTTTTTTTCAGCATCTTACTATATTGCCCAGGCTGGAGTGTGGTGGTGCAATCATGGCTCACTACAACCTTGACACCAGGCTCGTGGGATCCTCCTGTCTGAGCCTCCCAAGTAGCTGTGACTACAGAGATGCACCACTGTGCCGGGCTAATTTTTAATTTTTTTTAAATTTTTAGTAGAAATGAGGTCTCACTGTGTTGCTCAGGCTAGTCTTGAACACTTGAGCTCATGCAATCCTTCCACCTTGGCCCCCTAAAGTGCTGGGATTACAGGAGTGAGTCACCTCTCCTGACCTGTCTCAGCTTTCTTAATGGAAAATCACCTGCCTACTTATTTCATAGATTTTCTCTGAGAATGAAAGAACATGTACTTGAAGACATTTTGACGGTAATAAGGCACTATATAAATGAAATATATTATTATTTAACATATTACATTACCAAAATCAATACTTGGGTTCTCATATTAAGTTCTTCCAGAGGCCTATGAAAGCTAATTAAACTCAAGACAGAATTTAATCTTTCCACAAGTTTGCTTAAGCTTCAATGTACTTAGTAGTGTCAAAAATTGTTTAAATTGCTAAATTGGAAAAAAAAATGGTGCCCTTTCTTAGCGACATAACTTATAGAATTTGCATTTACTAGGGAAGAGAATGGTGTATCACAGGTACGTATATATATTTGTGACTATTGGGGAGCAAGGGTGTGATTTTTCAAAAAGTGAGCAATGTCATAAACTGTACAGTTAGGGTTTTATAAGACTAAATGAGGAGATAAAGGGTGTAGCTTAGTCAGATTGGTACAAGAGAAAGTAAGGCAGTTTGGGTTCAGTTTGTCAAAGATTTAGCCATGTATTTAATACTTGTAACTGTGACTGTGTTTAAAAGATCATAATATAAAAGTATTTCTATATATTGGCTACTCCTAAGAGAGAAATATACTATTATTTACACTGTTATACAATCTGTGGAGCAGGACTTGATAATTATATTCCAAGTCAATAGCTAGCAATAGTAACAAGACATGGCCTTATAATATTTCTCTCACTTGGAGAAATTACTCTAATTATGCTTAGTAATTATGTCATGTTGCCATTTGTACAAAACTTTGAATTTTCTTATTTTTCAGGTAAGCTTTCTTTATTATTTATTTACTTAAATGGTATTAATATGGTATTATTAATAGTACTAATTAAATAATAGTAGTATAAATAGTATTAAGATGATAGTATAGTATTTACTTAAATAGCATTAATATGCTAGTATTTACTTAAATAGTATTATTATTATTATTTATTTATTTTTTTTTAGATGGAGTCTTGCTCTGTTGCCCAGGCTGGAGTGCAGTGGCACGATCTGGGCTCACTGCAACCTCTGCCTCCTGGGCTCAAGCGATTCTCATGCCTCAGCCTCACAAGCAGCTGGGATTACAGGCACCTGCCACCATGCCCAGCTAATTTTTGTATTTTTAGTAGAGACGGGGTTTCACCATGTTGGCCAGGCTGGTCTCGAACTCCTGACCTCAGGTGATCCGCCCACCTCAGCCTCCCAAAGTGCTGGGATCACAGGCATGAGCCACTGTGCCCCGCCCTTAAATAGTATTAATATGGAAGTAAGGTAGTATTTTAGTGTTTATTTACTTAAATGGTACAAATATGGCAATATTTAAGTAAATAAATACTATTTAAGTATTTATAAATTAAGCTTTCTTTAATATTTACTTAAATCTACCATATCTATACAATAGAAAAATTGTTAAAATAACTCTGTCAACAGCAATATTGTCTTAAAAAATGAATTGAAAGAGGTAGTCTTCCTAGATTATATCTGAGCCAAACAATGAACAGTTTGTCTGTAATCATAGATCATTATAGGGAATAAAACAGTAATCTATGATATACAAAGTAAAAATGTGCTTCACAAGCTTGCCTTAAAACAGTGGTCCTCTAACTAGCATGTATCAGATTCATCTGGGGGCTTGTTAAAACATAGCACAGCCCTATCCCAGTATCTCTGATTCGGTAAGTCTTTGTTATAACCCAAGAATTTCACTTCTTTTTTTTTTTTTTGAAACGGAGTCTCGCTCTGTTGCCCAGGCTAGAGTGCAGCGGCGTGATCTCGGCTCACTGCAAGCTCCGCCCGCCGGGTTCACGCCATTCTCCTTCCTCAGCCTCTTGAGTAGCTGGGACTACAGGCGCCCGCCACCGCACCCGGCTAAATTTTTGTATTTTTAGTGGAGACGGGATTTCACCGTGTTAGCCAGGATGGTCTCGATCTCCTGACCTCTCATGATCTGCCCGCCTCGGCCTCCCAAAGTGCTGGGATTACAGGCGTGAGCCACCGTGCCTGGCCTGCACTTCTAATAAATTTTCTGGTGATGCTTATGTTGCTGCTCTGGCAACCACCCTTGAGAATCACTGACTTAGAATAACTATGAAGCAATATCTAAAATTTATTGGAGGAAAAAAGCTCCATTACATGAAATCCACGGTAAAGTAGAAAAAGCATGTTTTTTGAAGTCAGGTAAATTCTAGGACCAAGATTTTTATTCTTGTACTTACCAGCTGTGTGAATTTGAACAAAAATTATTTAACCTCTCTTGAGTCTTAGTTTTTCCATCTGTGTAGTGGGGAAGAAAATACTTAGCTATCAGTGTTTTATGAGGATTAGCGAGGTAACCTAGGTGAAATCACCTAAAGAGTGCCATATCTCAATATTTAAAAGGCATTTTTCCAGATAAAAACTTTATTGAGATATAACTTAGAATTACAATAAATAAATACATTAAATACATTTGAATCTCAATTACATACATGAGATATAATCCAGAAAAATGCATGAGGCATTTTTAAAGTTAAAAATATCTTTTTGGAAATAAGTATTGCCATTATAATGTGAGAAAAAAAGCAGAGAGATTAATTCCTTTCTTAGATCAACTGAAAACATTCTTTTCTGAATCTTATTTTTAAGAATTGTATTAAATACATTTGTTCACTTTTAATAGCCTTTCATGACCAGCATTAGACAAACAGAAAAAATGGATGTAATCTAATTATTTTGCATAGTCAGTAAAAGGCATAATGAATTTATAAGTGTTAAAAAATTGTTAAGTTGTGGTTTCTGAATTCTGTCTTTACCTGTACATATTCTTGGGTCTGAATAAACTGTCCTGCATATATATTTTGTCAGTGGTAACTCAACTACATAATCATAGACACACATTTAAATAACCATCTGTAAATCTTCGGTTTTATATTTTTGTCAGCCTCAACACTGAAAAATACTTGAATATCCAGATAACTAGAAATCTGCAAAATTATCCAGAAAAATACTTTTTATTTTTTGAGATGGAGTCCACTCTGTTGTCCAGGCTGGAGTGCAGTGATGCGATCTTGGCTTACTGCAACATCTGCCTCCCAGGTTCAAGCAATTCTCCTGTCTCAGCCTCCTGAGTACCTGGGACTACAGGTGCACGCCACCACGCCTGGCTAGTTTTTGTATTTTTAGTAGTGACGGGTTTTCACCATATTGTTCAGGGTGGTGTCGAACTCCTGACCTCAGGTGATCCACCCGCCTTGGTCTCCCAAAGTGCTGGGATTACAGGCATGAGCCACCACGCCTGGCCCAGAAAAATACTTTTGACAAAAGTACAGTTAAAAATGAAGCTATTTAATTCTCATGTAACTGATATGAGAAACTACTTTAATTAAAAAATCAATTTCACAAAATATGGATATATACAGCAACATGAATCTCAAAAGTATTATGCTAAATGAAAGATGTCAGTTACAAAAGACTACACGGAATACATGCTTCCATTTATGTGAAGTTCTAGAAAAGGCAAAACTGTAGTGGTACAAAGTAGTTGCTTGTGGCTGGGGATGTGGTGGGGATCGGGGGGGATAGACTGCAAAGGAACAAGGAGAAATTTTTTTAGGCTAACAACTGTTCTGTATTTTGAATGTGGTGGTGGACATAACTGTGTGCAATGTTCAAAATTCAGCTAATTGTACATTTAAAATGGGTGGATTTTATTGCATGTAAATTATATTCAACAAAACTGGGAAAAATCAATTTCTATAAAAAAGAATCAATTTCTATAAAAGGTCTTTTCCAACGACAAATGCCATATCCAAATTGTAACAAACATTTGGAAACCCAATTCAGTTTAAGAGGACAAGTAATAATTCTACCATCTAACCATGATATCAAAATGTCTGCATATCCAGCACAACACGAGAGGAAGCGAATCCTGCAGGACTTTCTAAAGCAAAATGCTACCAAGCCTTCAGGATGTTATCAGTCTTGACAAGGTTATGTGATGACTGGGAGTTCACTGAAGAGAGTTTAGTTTAAATGTTTTCCTAGTTGCCTTTTGACTTTAGATAGATAAGGACAAGTGAAATAAATAAGGACAAGAAAAATGTAAGTATTTGTCATGTTTATTATTGTTTTCAGATTGATATCTGCAAATGACATTAAGGAAAAAAATGAACATGCTGAACTCCCTGTGTACATTGCACAGAATTTTCCTCAGTTATTTCTGGATCAATGAGGAGAGGGAATGTATTCTCCTTAGCAAGCAATATGATTGTAAAGGCTGTTTTCTGTGAAGCCAGTAACCAAGGGCCCCAAATAATTTATCATGCAGGATATAGCATGAATGTCTGGTAGTTTAAAGCTTCCATGATGCTTCATTTTAATACTGATTCTTAGAAACAAGAAGTTTATAGACCGGGTACAGTGGCTCACGCCTGTAATCCCAGCACTTTGGGAGGCCGAGGCGGGCGGATCACGAGGTCAGGAGATCGAGACCATCCTGGCTAACACGGTGAAACCCTGTCTCTACTAAAAATACAAAAAAATTAGCCGGGCATGGTGGCAGGCGCCTGTAGCCCCAGCTACTCGGGAGGCTGAGGCAGGAGAATGGCGTGAACCCGGGAGGCGGAGTTTGCAGTGAGCTGAGATCATGCCACTGCACTCCAGCCTGGGTGACAGAGCGAGACTCCGTCTCAAAAAAAAAAAAAAAAAAAAAAGTTTATGGTGATAAAGAAGTTTATGGTGAAAAAAATTGCACATCAATTTAAGAAAAGGTGCAAAAGATTTCTCCTGGGTATGAATAAACACCTTTCTTAGCACAAAGTTTTGTGTATGTCTAGGAATTCTGCTTGTGAAATATCTTTTAGACTTTTAAAAAATAGTCATCTCTGCAAGAAATAGTTTACAAATAAACAATATTAGGAAAATGGCAGCCTAAGGGACTATTTTTCTAGAAGGGATTTATTATAAAGAGTTATAGGTACTTATCTGTGTCCCTCTTGACTTTTGATACAATCCTGTCAGTGATCAGCTTTGATTTTAGAAGTGTTAATTACAATACTTTTCAATTAAAACATTTGGGGGGGAAAAAAAAAAACATGTGCTACCAAATTGACTGCTGGATATTTGAACAGTGTGACATCTGTTTTATTCCCTTCACTTAAAAAACACTTCGATAAGCATTTAGGTATATTACTGGGCTAAATGAAAATTATGTCAGAGAAAAACATGTTATTCATTCATTAGCAGTTATGGGAAGTTTACGAACTTATTGTGACAAGATCTCATTGTCTAGTCATCAGAAAATTTACACTCGTTAATCATAACATAAAAAGTTCTCACCAGTTTTCTGGGGTCCTATTACCAAGAATTTTGGTAAGCGATCACAAGTTTTTTCTTTAGACCAAATGTCTCTGTGGCGTTTGTCATCGCAAGGATTCTAAATGGGAGAAGAACATAGAGATGTATTTTTTTTCATGAATGTGTCCATTGTGTGCCAGCTTTTCCAACTTGTGTTCTTTAAAAGTATACCAGGAAACGCTGGGATAAAAAATAGACTCTTTTAAAAAAATGAAAGCCCTGAAGTGGCATCATGGAAGTTCTGAATAACTCCCTTCCATGTTGAGGTTGAGAGTCTACAGAGCAGGCTGGAGAGAGGCAGTATTTCCACTTTGGGTAAACAGTCTCATAGCATGAAGAGTTTAATTGGCTACTAGCAGTTCTATTTTTTTTAATAGTTAGCTTACTGGGCAGAGATTATGCTTCCTGCTAACCTAAAAGATGATACACTCAGTATTCAATACATAACTGAAATGTAAGTTGTCAGATCTTTATTCTAAGTAACTTTGAGCTTTCCAGCTGTGCTTCAAAGGGATAGGGATCTGGCCAAAATACTACTATCTAAAGAGACAGCAGATACGTCTCAGCTGCCGTCAAAGGTTGATAAATGTATATCTAAAAATGTAACTTTATAGACTATGATGCTAGAAAGTCCTAAGTTTTAGCAAAAGGGAATAATGAGGGTGAATTACTACCTTAGGGATTCTGCTTTTGGTCTATAATATTTAACACCAACATCCACTGCACAAGTCCTATTTAGAACACCCTTCATTTTAAGAACAAAGTATATATTATGTAGAAAAGGAGGAAGAATTACAGTACCCTTTAATATTATTTCAGGAATGGGCAAACAGTACCACTTTTTTATTTCTAGTCAATTAATACCATAGGTATGTGAAGTTAAATAAGACTTCTGCTTATTTTTAATAAGCAACAGATGTTAAGACTAAAGTGAGAGTATTCTTTTTGGCTGTTCTTCTGAAAAAAAAAACAAAAAAACAGTTTAAAACTTGTCACCTGAAATAATGATTTCAGTTTAAAAGTAAGGTTGAATTAGCAGGAAAATTGCATGTCTTTCCATTGGCTAACATTTGGTGATGTTTCGTGGTGGTTAAAATGAAAAGATGCTTGTTAAAACAACGGAAAAGTAATATGCAGTCATAAGTCCACAACCACCAACTTTAACCTGCTAAATATGCAGTTATGTCTCTTGGAGTCATCTGTGTGTGCTCAGGAGGTAATTAACTTACGGTTGAAAGCTGAATGCATTGAGTATAAAGTTCAGAGTTAACAACTTCAATCTGTGGTAAAAAGTTACTGAGTTCTACTTCTGATGATTGTTATTGTTTTACCATCAGCTCTGTCTGTAACTCTAGTAGCGTTTAGAACAGTGATTAAGAAGTACAGCTTTTGGAACCAGATGGCCTACAACTGATTCCTGCTCTGCAACACACTAGCTGTGTGACCTTGCTTAATTGACTTAGCCTTTCTGTGCTTCAGTTTCTTCATCTGTAAAATGCAAATCATAACTGTACCTACCACTTAAGGTAGTTGTGAGGATTAAATGAGTTAACACATGTCAAGTGCCCCGTCTGACATATAATAAGCAATATGTAATTATTTGCCAAGATTATTATTTTTCACAGATCATGGAGTGGACAATTTAAATTCAAAGTTGTTCCTGCAATTCTATGATACATAAGAGTCTATGCTTTGAAATCTAGGTTACCCCCAGAGTCATCTGAATATGCTGTATTCATGTGGTATTTATCTTAAGAAGCTCAGTGATTTTCCCATGAAATGCTTTCCCCCATATTAATCCCCAATTAATACTTTTGAAAGCTGTCCACATTCAGTGGCTGTTGGCTGTTGGTGTACCTCGTGGTTCAGAAGGCAGATGTCAGTTCTGAACTCTTCTCAGAGATCCTTTAATATGGTTTAGTCATTAGAGATATGGGGATGTGTTCAAAGGCTACCTGTCTAACAAACGACCTGTTTACCATCTTCTACTCTTCCAGCCTATTGCAACCTGTAGATTTATCTCTCACTCCTGATTGAAGACGTTATATTCATTGAATCTGTCACTGAACTTTCCGAATCCCATAATTTCCAATGTGCAAGGGAACAGGGAATTGGGTGCAATATGTAGCAATGATATACAACTACAGTTTAGGAAGGAGTAGTTTCTCAAATTTACTAACATTTCCAAAATGCAGGTTTTTTCAGGTGCCTTCACTTTTCAAATTTGGGATATCTCACAGAATTATGTTCCTGGAATTAACTGGTTATATCAATTATTTAATTAATTTTACCTGCCAGAGAGGGTCTTTCTGATCAGGAAACAGCTCAAAATACTTGTGGGCCAGTTGTACTGGAGGCAGAGTCTGAAGTCGCAGGTTGGTCCAGCTCTTCACAAAGTTGGCCAGATTAACAAATGTATATAATCCCAGTCGGTCATTCCCATAGTTGGACAAATGGGTCATGAAAATGCTGATCTGAAAAAAGCAAATGAACTTCAGTGTAAATAACATTTATTTTGACACTAGAGGGCAGTATAATCACAGCCATGCTAGTTTTTTTCCTTAAGTAGTCTGCACAGGGTTTCAGTTGATGGCGTGTTTTTGGATTTGGGACATGTCCCTCAAACCCTCATTATATTAATACATACTGGAGGATGTGTTATCAGCAAGACTTGAGCATTTTTTCCCTGAAATTTTCTTATATTTCATAACAAAAAAATACATTCAACATCAATAGCTGCTGTATACCCATGTTGGTGCAATAAGACTGATGCTGAATAACAACCTGTATATTTCTCAAGCCCTTTTTCACATTCCTTAGTTCCATTATTCCCAATATAAAACATCTCCTTTAAGAAAAATCTTTAATGCTTGGCTAGATAAAATTGACTCTTCCTATGGAAGCACCTGACCTAGATTGAATCCATGCATTGAAAGACAATCACAGAAAGTGCAGGAAACTTTTTATAATAAAATAAATTTGAACTCTGCAGGTTAGACTGCATTGGTCTGGGATGTAGACGTAGAATGGGTATTTGTAGCTTTAAGTGAATGCAGATAATTTTTGCTGGTTAGTGTTGACAAATGAATTCTTCTGCATGAGATTTTTAATGGCAAAGAAAGCCATTGTGACGTTTATGCTGCTATAAAAAAGATCATAAAATAATTCATGTGATAATAGTACTTTCCTAAAATATATAATGTCATGTGAATGAATAGTAACAATGGTTTACTATAATCATAATAATGAATTTAATAGGTCATTCATTAAGAGGCTGAAAGAAATATTCAAGAAAATTCATTGAGGTAATGTGACAGAGATGAGAGAAAAAGTTATGTTAATATTTAACACAATAAATAAGAAAAATGTAATTACTTAACAACTATGAATAAGAGGAAGTAGTAATATCCTATGGAACAAATCCTGCAGGCTTTTACATAAAAAGCTTCATTGTGATCAAGAATATTTGCATTTCTATTCACTCTGCCTGAACATATATTAAATCTTTGAACTTTTACAAATAAATTATTTTGTGAGTGATTTAAAATAGCTGTCTGTACCAGCAGACCAATGCAGTCATGGAATTGGGAACTAAGCCTTTTACCATTTTGGGTCTTTCTTAAAAAATGAGACTTTAAAACTTAAATCTTCTGGTTATTTTTTAATAGCAACTTCAATTCTGTGACTTAAATTTCCTCTTTTTCTCCTGTAAAATTTATCAGAACATTAGGTGATTGAGAAACTTATGAAAATCATTCTTAAATTTGGAAGTTTTTTTCTAATGTCGTTGGAGGTGGTCTTTACTCATTTGTTTTACATGCCACATTTTTCAGTGTAGCTTAATAAGGTAGAAAAATGATACTTCTGGTCACCTTTCTCCTAAAAATTTTTTTAAATACAATTTTAAAAATGTGTATTTTTAACCTGGTTAGTAAGTTCAAATTTCTTGCTTTATTTTTATGAAAGATTTGTCAGTAAGTCTATATGTGTCATATTTCACTTGAATAATATCTGCATGGGACAGAAAATGGGAAATAGAGATACTATATAACCTCATGATACTAATACATTCGAAATCCCTTTGAATTCACTTTTTAACCTCAGAAAACATTTTATTCTGACAATTAAAGCAGAGAGCTACTCTCTACCTGCATGACTATGGAAAGTAAAAAAATGCTACTCTTTCTGATAAAGACAGATGGAACCCAAAATGAGTTATGAGCTAGTAAAGAACATTGCTTTTCATGAAACTGAACCTGATTTGGAAGAATTAAGGTGATACTTATAAGGTGTTGAACTTAGTCCTGTAAAAGAAAACCTACTTAGCCTCCAAGCGTGGAACTTTTCCCAAATGTTCAATTCTATTTTTATATTCCCACTTTAATATAATGCAAGGTGCACCATAAGCTAAAGGACGGTTTAATGTTTTTGTAACGCATGTCACCTTATGACCCTTTTAGACTCTGTACTCAAGCCTGAGATTTGTTTTGTGCCCCTGAAGGCCATAAGGGAGTATAATTTGTCAGGCATAATACATTTCAATTTCTTTTTGAACTTTTTTTTTTCATGAATCACAATATTTTCTATAGACATGGAATATTGCATATCTTTTGCTGAACATGTAACCTCTCTTTCTTTGTTACTTTTTTCTTAGGAAGGTATGCACATTAAGGAACATAATTGACAAAAACAGATATATAACAAGAATGTTTTGGTTAAAAAGTTAGCTTGCTTTCTAGACAGTCTTTCTTCCTTACCTGTGTACTGACCTATGACATTTATAATGTCATTTCACTTCTTGGCAATTCCTCACCTGACAACAATTTCTGTACAGCATAGAAAGAAACAAAGAAAAGGCTTGAAAAGGCTGCTAGTTCAGGAGAAGCAGATATTAGTCTTTTCCTAAAGATGATACTTTTACAATTTTAAGAGTGCTTCAGGACTGAGGTTTTATTTTTGTTTTTTTTTTTTTAGATGGAAAATTGATCAAAATAAATTATTTTTATTATACTTGTAGATTCCAATGAGATGGAAAGTGTCAATAGAAGTGACAATTGCATTTATAAAACAATTTTTGCTATAAACACACTATGAGTAATTAGTTGTCACCAAAAGGACTGTTTAGCTGCTTAAAACTCACATCATTTGAAACTGCCAAAGGCATAATGTTTATATGATTAACAACTGAAACAATTCTTTCTAGTCTGTGAGATATAGATGTGTATAGCCAGATGGTTATCTGTGAATTTTTTTCTGTAAAAAGGGAAAAGGTAAATGTCAAATACCACATACATTAGTCTTTATGAGAGAGGAAACAGATACTGTTTGTCAAAGTGTAACTAAGAGAAAAGTGTGGGAAGCTTTATCTATACTTTCTAGCATCAACCCTGTGAATCCACTAAGCTCTAGGTATGGGGGATGCATGGCTCATTACCAAGAATAAAAAGCAAAATACAGGTCCTGGTGCAAACGCTGTTGACAATGCAGTAAGTATTCTCTTTCTTTAGAGAAGGCTGGGAAGAGGAGAGGAAATGTGGATGTGAAAAAAAGTATGTTATTTATTATAAACTATGCCTTTCATGACCACGCTGCTCAGTTTAAATCCACAAATATTTTTCTGATTATTCTGCTATTTGCCAGATGCTCTGCTTCATTCTCAGGGTGCAAATATAAATATGCTGCTCATTCTTTTAAGTTTTGTTCATGAAAAGAGTCAGAATTCAGAAGGTAGAAGAGAGGTTACAGCAAACTCTTTCTCTCAGCCAACCAGTTTTGTTTTGCTTTAGTATGCTTCTGGGTGACCATAGGTTCAAAAGGTTTATGATATATACAAATCAACTGGGAAGTTTTAAAACATTCTGATCACCAGTCTTTATACTCAGAGATTCTGATTTTTAGGTCTGGAGGAGGCCCTGGTACCTGCATTTTAATAATCCCTAGTGGTCTTGATGCAGGGATCATTGGAATACAGTTTGAGAAAGCCTGGCTAGACCCAGTTCTCCCAGAGGAACTTTTATTTTCCATAGAAATATATATTTTATTCATATAGGAAAGATCTAACTCAGGTTATCAAACCCATTGGTTGCTTTGTAGTAGTCCTTTTTAAACACATTTTAAAAGCAAGCATGTTTTATTAAGTTCATAAATATATTTCAATGTCCTACACTTAGAGTTGTCCTTAGTACAAAAAACAGCTTGGTAAGTGCCCTTGGCCATGACTTTTGAGGGCTTCTGTACTGCTGACAGATGTGTGGTGATGTTCAGAAGATTGCTAAAAAGAGAACTGGTTCATACAGACATGTGAATTTGGCTCCTAATTCCCTTCAATCCTGTTTATTTTATTTTTTTAATTTTACTTTAAGTTCCGGGATACAAGTGCAGAACGTGTAGGTTTGTTACCTAGGTATACGTTTGCCATGGTGGTTTGCTGCCTATCAACCCATCATCTAGGTTTTAAGCCCCATATACATTAGCTATTTGCCCTAATGCTTTCCCTCCCCTAGCCCCCCATCCCCTAACTGGCCTCAGTGTGTTGTTCCCCTCCCTGTGTCCATGTGTTCTCATTGTTCAACTACCTCTTATGAGTGAGAACATGCGGTGTTTGGTTTTCTCTTCCTGTGTTAGTTTGCTGAAGATGATGGCTTCCAGCTTCATGTCCTTGCCAAGGACATGATCTCATTCCTTTTTATGGCTGTATAGTATCCCATGGTTTATATGTACCACATTTTCTTTATCTAGTCTATCATTGTTGGGCATTTGGGTTGGTTCCACGTGTCTGCTATTTTAAATAGTGCTGCAGTAAACATACGTGTTCATTTGTCTTTATAGTAGAATGATTTATACTCCTGTGGGTATATACCCAGCAATCCCATTGGTATTTCTGGTTCTAGATCTTTGAGGAATTGCCACACTGTCTTCCACAATGGTTGAACTAATTTACATTCCTACCAACAGTGTAAAAGTGTTCCTATTTCTCCACAACCTCACCAGTGTGAGATGGTATCTCATTATGGTTTTGATTTGCATTTCTCTAATGATCAGTGATGTTGAGCTTTTTTTTGTATGTTCGTTGGCCACATAAAAGTTTTCTTTTGAGAAGTGTCTGTTCATATCCTTTGCCAATTTTTTGATGATGATGTTTGTTTTTTCCTTGTAGATTTGTTTAAATTCCTTGTAGTGGATTTACTGCAAAAATTTTCTTGCATTCTGTAGGTTGCCTGTTCACTCTGATGATAGTTTCTTTTGCTGTGCAGAAGCTCTTTAGTTTAATTATAATCCCATTTGTCAATTTTGGCTTTTGTTGCCATTGCTTTTGGTGTTTTAGTCATGAAGTCTTTGCTCATGCCTGTGTCCTGAGTGGTATTGCCTAGGTTTTCTTCTAGGGTTTTTATGGTTTTGGATTTTACACTTAAGTCTTTAATCGATCTTTAGTTTTGTATAAGGTATAAGGAAGGAGTCCAGTTTCTGTTTTCTGCATATGGCTAGCCAGTTTTTCCAGCACCATTTATTAAATAGAGAATCCTTTCCCCATTGTTTGTTTTTGTCAGTTGTGTTGATAATCAGATGGTTGTAGATGTATGGTGTTATTTCTGAGGTCGCTGTTCTGTTCCATTGGTCTATATGTCTGTTTTGGTACTAGTACCGTGCTGTTTTGTTACTGTGGCCTTGTAATGTAGTTTGCAGTCAGGTAGCGTGATGCCTCCAGCATTGTTCTTTTTGCTTAGGATTGTCTTGGCTATATGGGCTCTTTTTTGGTTCCATATGAAATTTTAATTCATTTCTTTTTCTAATTCTGTGAAGAATGTCAATAGTAGTTTGAAGGGAATAGCATTGAATCTATAAATTACTTTGGGCAGTATGGCCATTTTAATGATATTGATTCTTCCTATCCATGAGGATGGAATGTTTTTCCATTTGCTGGTGTCCCCTCTGATTTCCTTGAGTAGTGGTTTGTAGTACTCCTTGAAGAGGGTCCTTTGTTGTAAGTTGTATTCCTAGGTATTTTATTCTCTTTGTAGCAATTGTGAATGGGAGTTCATTCATGATTTGGCTCTCTGCTTGTCTATTGTTGATGTATAGGATTGCTTCTGATTTTTTTGCACATTGATTTTGTATCCTGAGACTTTGCTGAAGTTACTTATCAGCTTAACGAGTTTGGAGCTGAGACGATGGGGTTTTCTAAGTATAGAATCATGCCATCTACAAACAGAGACAATTTGACTTCCTCTCTTCCTATCTGAATACCCTTTATTTCTTTCTATTGGCTGATTGCCTTGGGCCGAACTTCCAATACTATGTTGAATAGCAGTGGTGAAAGAGGCCATCCTTGTCTTGAGCCAGTTTTCAAGGAAATGCTTCTAGCTTTTGCCCATTCAGTATGATATTGGCTGTGGGTTTGTCATAAATAGCTCTCATTATTTTGAGGTATAGTCCATAAATACCTCATTTATTGGGAGTTTTTAACATAAAGGGATGTTGAATTTTATTGAAGGCCTTTTCTGCATCTATTGAGATAATCATGTGGTTTTTGTCATTGGTTCTGTTTATGTGATGGATTACATTTATTGATTTTCATATGTTGAACCAGCCTTGAATCCCAGGGATGAAGCCAACTTGATTGTGGTGGATAAGCTTTTTGATGTGCTGCTGGATCTGGTTTGTCAGTATTTTACTGAGGATTTTCATGTCGATGTTCATCAGGGATATTGGCTTGAAGTTTTCTTTTTTTGTTTTGTCTCTGCCAAGTTTTGGTATCGGGATGATGCTGATCTTATAAAATGAGTTAGGGAGGAGTCCCTTCTTTTCAATTGTTTGGAATAGTTTCAGAAGGAAAGATACCAGCTCCTCTTTTTACCTCTGGTAGAATTCGGCTGTGTATCTGGTCTTGGGCTTTTTTTTGGTTGGTAGGCTATTAATTACTGCCTCAATTTCAGAACTTGTTATTGGTTTATTCAGGGATTCGTCTTCTTCCTGGTTTAGTCTTGGGAGGGTATATGTGTCCAGGAATTTATCCATTTCTTGTAGATTTTCTAGTTTATTTGTGTAGAGGTGTTTATAGTATTCTCTGATGATAGTTTTTATTTCTGTGGGGTCAGTGGTGATATCTCCTTTATCATTTTTTATTGTGTCTATTTGTCAATCTTGTTTTTTACCAAAGCAAAATTTTTCATTTCTCCATGTACCTCTCAGATGCATGTTAACTTATGAGTTCTCTATTTAAAAGGCTGCCTTTCACATTCACTTTTGCTTTATTTCATGACGTTTTAAGGGCTATGTGGCAAAGGAAGAGTGTACTGTAATTTACTTCATGTTCTTCTTTCTCCTTGACTTAGATCCCCAGACCAGAAACACTCTTTACAGAAAAAGTAAGGAAACCAGTTTATTTTTATATAGGGCAATGAACAAACTCCAGAAGTTTCATTTTTATCATCGTGGAAAATGTATGAGTTCCATCACTCTCAAGATTGTACTCCATCACATGAGCACGTCTCATTCTGAAAAATAAGTATAAAATTCTGAGCAGAAAGGATATTCTAATGATGCTCTGGGCCTGAACTTCCTATACTATAATTCCCTGGCTCGGGCCCTCTCATAAGTGCCTCATTAGCTTTTGAGTTGAATAAAGTTCAGTGTGTCAACCTAAGGCACTACATGGTCCCAGTTTATCTTTCCAGTCTTCCCTTCTGTACCCCTTCTGTGCTCAGGGCAAACCAGCCAACTTGTCTTGGTTGTTGATCTACAATATTCCTTGGACTTGCCTCTCCACGGCTTCGTTTATACGGTTTCTTCTCTCTGTAAATACGCTGCCTCACTTTGCTACTTAGCTCAATTTTATGTATTCAAGAGTGTCATGTCCACTGTTTCATATCTCTCAAGGCAAATGCAATGTTTTTAAAAATGCAAGCCCTAGAGCCCCTAGTTTTGTCTTTCTGACATTTTCTTATCCTGGCTTGTTTTGTGCTTTTTAAACATACTTGTTTTATTCATCTCTAGATTGTAAGTTCCTTGGGGGCTGGCATGGGCCTTTCAACTTTATTCTCTGAACTGTCTGTAATATATTGTATGTGCTTTGAGCTGGCTCCAGTAATCTTATTTGTAAAGCTGAAAAATTCTAGGGTCAGTTATTTTTTCAATGCCACTCATTCTGGTAATCTTTTAGCACCATTAAAATTGTGGGCCTCCTCAATGATTTATTCTTGTCTCCTCTAACTTTATCTCCATTCACTGTGTACTCTTCTTTCTGAACTCTGCTTCTCTAGTCTCCACTTATTTTCTTACTGTCCATTTCCCTCTGTTTTCCGTGAAACCTTACTCCTTTTTAAATAAACTATATCTTTATGTCTTTGCCTTTGGCCTGTACAGTGATTAAGAAAGAGGGCTCCACCACCTACTGGCTCTACAGTCTTAGCAAGTTATTTAAACTCTCAGTACTTTAATTTACTTGTTTAAAAGAAAACAAAAAGGATATAATAATAGTAATTACCTCACAGGGTTGTCATTACAATTAAATGTAAAGTTAAAAAAATTTTAATACACTGCCTGCCACATAGTAATTGCTTAATAATGAAGAGCTATTTATTATTGTTGATATATTATTGTTATTTTGGAGAAACATCATTTCTTATTTACAATTTCTTTCTAGCAGCTCACCAGCCTTATCAGGACAGCCTTCCAACCTCTTAACCCTCTTATTTTTTTCCTGCATCAATCAATGTGCTTCTGATCACTTCTTCTACCAGGCAAGATTCTATCTGCAATGGTTTGAACTTCTCTGCTACGATTACCCTCAGATTCCCAAATCATCTTTCTGCTTTCAATGCTCTGCAAATATGAGACTTTGGGCCAGTTCTTCCATTTAATTAGTTCACTTCCACATATGGACTCTTCAGCACAGTTAGAGAACAAACACACAATAGGAGCTATTCATAGCGCATAAGCATATGGTCCCCAATCTCAATGGAATCCTTAGTACTACTGGATATTCTTCTTATTTATTCATTGTCACCTTGCTCTTCTGTTCCCTTCAGCAGCTATTTTAAACTTTCATCCCTCTCTGGAGGCCTTCTGTTCAGTTTCCACTCTCCCTACTTTCCCTAATCATCCCCTAATTAACAGGGAGTGCTGGTCATCAGGCAGGAACTCTTTCAAGTCCTTCTTTCTACACATTTGTCTTTTAAAAATTCCTCCTGACACCTGGAGTGTCAAGCAAAGGTGTTCCATTTTGTTGTCAAGACTAATATATCCCCCAGTGCTTTTCATCGCATCTACTTTCAACTCCCATGTGATCTTAGTCTATCACATATTCCTCTGTTTTCCTCTATTTTCAGTCCTCTCCACTGGTCCTTCCCTCATACCCGAAAACATATTTCAATCTCTCTCATCTTAGGCTCTCTCTTGAGATTTTATCTTTTCTAGCCACTGTCCTACCCAGCCAAGTTCTTCAAAGGAACAGTACTCAGGTGCTGACTTTACTCCTCACCTCCATTCATGTTTCAGCCATTTGTGACTTGGGTTTTGTCCCCACCATCCCATGAAAAATGCCTTCCAAAAGGTAAGCAATAGCCTCGTAGCTACATATGGATACTTGGTAGTCATTGGGTTAACCAATCTACTCCATTGAACATGGTTGACCACACTTAAAATTTTATTCTTCCTTGGCTTTTTTGACACTGTTTTCTCCTAGTTCTCCTCTATCTATATTTTTCACTGATTCTTCCTTCTCCACATTACCTTTAGATAGCTAGTGTTTTTCAGGGTTTTGTTTTTTACATGCTGTCTCTAGGTGGAATCACCACAATGATCCCCAGATCTCAAACTACCATTCCTATCTTTCTCCTAAATTTTATACTTAAATGTCTAGTTGACATTTTTATCTGAATGTGCCATAGCCATCTCACTTTAAACATGGCTAAATTGAGCTCTTTATGTGCTTGTAATAGAGTGTAAGTAAGCTCCAGGAGAGCAGGGACCTCATCTGCTTCATCACTGCTAGTTTCCTAGCACCTAACCAGCTAAATAATAACTAGCACATGGTAGATGCTCAATAAATAATATTTGAATGAATGAATCTTTACAGACAGATCTGGTCTTCCTTTTGTATTCCTTATTTTCCCTAAGGTTACTACTGTTCCTATGGTTATCAAGCCAAAAAACTGAGGGCATTCCAGACACTTACCAGATCCTCATTTCTTATTGAACTGGACTTGTTTTGTCAATGCACTCTCTTTTATAACTCCAACGGATCCTCTCTATCCCTATTTGCACTTGCCTGGTTTAATCTTTCATTGAATCTTACCTGGGTTCTTTAAAAGCTTTCTAACTGGTCTTCCTCCTTCCAGAACTGTGTTCCTCTAATCTATCCTCTAGAACAATGCTGTCCAGTAGATACATACTGTGAGTCATGTGTATAATTTAAAATATATGTTTAGTAGCCACATTATGAAAAATAATAATAATTGAATAAAATCAATTTAAATAATATACTTAATTTAACCCAATGTACACAAAAATGTCATTTCAGCATGTAATCAACATAAAAATTATTAATGAGTTATTTCTCATTTTTAAATATGAAGTCTTCAAAATCTGGTGTGGTGTTTTATATTTACAGTACATCTCAATTAGGATTAGCCACATTTCAAGAATTCAATTCACATGTGGCTGGTGCAGCTGTAGAGTCTGTACCTTAATGCTTCAAGAGTCCATCATGATAATGCCCCTACCTTCTTCTTCATCTTCATATTTTCCCACTTACTTGCTTTTACTTTCCATTCCAGTGTGCATGACAGCATACATTGGTAGATGTTTTTTATTCTACCTGGAATACCTTCCTGTCTCTTTACCTACCATTGCTTTTCCAGTTTGAGGTGACTACTTCCTCTTTGTATCTCCACTGCTCTTTCATAACAACTATTAGGATTAGTTGTTTTGACTTGTTATACGTTCCTCTTGCTAAACTGTGAGCTCATCAAGAGCAGGGATCAGGTTGTACTCTTTATTATATCTACAGTCATGTGTATGGTTCATTAAAGAAATGTTTGTTAAACTTAATTTAATTACATAATAGGCTACTGAAAAGTATTTGTTGAATTGAAGTCTATATCATAAGTGATCTTTTTGCTTTTAAAAATTATACAGTCAAGGTAAAAAACAGAAAATGTCAAAAAAGAAAAAAATTCTGAATTGTTTTCATATTTAAAAATCTTATATATAGGATTTATATAAAAAAGTATATATTATAAATTATGTATAAATTATTTTTATATAAAATTTTGTATGTGTATGTTAATGTATGGTATAACTTGATGCATAGTGTTTGCTGCTTAGCAATATATCTTTAGCATTTTATACATTGTTAAAAATACTTTAAAATGTGTATATATATATATATTTAATGGCTAAATAGTAATTTATCTTATTAATTATCACAATGTCCTTAGTCAGTTTTCTACTCTTGGTCCTTTAGTTTGCTCATAATTTTTATTGTTGTAAACAACACTGGATTGGTCATCATCATTGATACATCTTAGTTGGTATCTGACTATATTCCTGGGAAAAATTTTTAGAAGTGGATGAAATTGCAGGTTCCAACCGAATGCATATTTTAAAGGCTAGTATCTTATTGTGCCACCTGTCTTGGGTTCAGCACACTGGCTCAGTGCCCTGGGCTTTATTCCTGTTCACCTGGGGCATGAATAAGAACAAATCATAAAGGAAGAGCAGTCTACTGGAGTTCATGAATGGTGACAATTTATGTTCGAGCTGTGAGAAAAATTGTCCTCTTCATGTCAAATCACTGCTTTTCATTTTGCATGATTCTTGCTGGCTGGGAAGCATTATTTGGAAATTGTGTTAGCTTTGACGATTTAGCTTGCAATCAATAATGAACTGCAGATGAAAAAGAAACCAAATGTGAAGAGACTAATAAGGAAGGTAGAAAAATAGTCTTTCATCAGACTATAGGGGAGCAAATGTTAGCTTTAACAGCTCCAGATGAATTACATGTGAGGATTCAATGAGATAATACATGCTAAAAGTTCAATATAGTGTCTGACAACATAGTTAAGTACCCAAGAAATACATGTTACCTGAGATTGGGTAAAATATGATATTTTGACTTGTCTTGAAATTCTTGCACCCAAGGCTAACCTGTTATAATTATTTGATCTATTCTGAGGAAGGCATGTGAGTATACTTATACTTTGGAGCTCATTTGGTTCTTTCCTCATGTATAGAAAAAATAAGTCAGCCATTCAGAAAACCCTTCATCCTTTTTTAAAAAATGTCCAAATCAGGTAGACTTTAAAGGTGTAGGATTGTTCTGCTGCAAATGGTCATAGCATACTCTTGATGCTATGTTGTATGATATTATCAAACATTATATTGGATATAATAATTTCTTATTTATTTATAAAAGAATGAATGAAAAACAAGGCCTTGCTTTGCCACCCAGGCTGGAGTGCAACGTCTCCATCACAGCTCACTGCAGCCTCAGCCTCCTGGGCTCAATTTACCAATCCATCTTAGCCTCACCAGTAGCTGGGACCACAGGTGCATACAGCCATGCCTGGCTAATTATTGTATTTTTTTGTAGAAATGGGGTTTCGCCATGTTGCTCAGGCTGGTCTCAAACTTCTGGGCTGCTCAAGCTCTCTGCCCACCTTGCCCCCACTAAGTGATGGGATTACAGGCATGAGGCCTGGCCTTTCTCTACTTTTAATCCAGACTGTAGCTGCCTCTATCTGCTTTATTTATAAAAAACAATTAATAAAATGCACATTGTGGCATGTTTTTTCATCAGGTCATCATACAAATTCCAAATGCTTTATTTGCATTGTGAACCCAACTAACTGTATCCCTCTTCTAATTAGATCCAAAAAGATGCCCGCTGCTATTCCAACCCTACCTGTCCTAAGGGGATGTTTGATACAAGGGAAAGTGGAATGGAAAGAAACAGTGGTCCCAAACAAGCTGTGGAAGGGGTCCATAAAAGTGAGGGGCTTTGAGTCGTTGCCTTCTGAAGTTTCTCACTAAGCCCTCTTCTGGGATGTGGGCAAGCCTGAGGGAAGAGAAGGAGTTCCTCAAGGGGACTCCTTGACACAGGCACATCGTTCACTTTACTTGCAGTGTATTATAGTACATGGCAGTTTATGAGAGCCTAGTTACACAGATTTACGGACTGTACTTTCTAGCTTTAATTAGGCTAACCATCACAAAAAGTCCAAGCGCCTTAAAAAGATTATAAGAAACCATGGTTCATAGTGAATGCTGTTAATAATAATGAAAGCACAAGTGAAGGAAAGGAAAGTGCCAGAGCCAACCCCTGTGCTCCTTCTAGTCTGAACCCTTGTCAGCCCCTAATGCGATGAAAACAGTGATGATATAATCACATTTAACAATAGTAGGCTCCCAAATTTCAAAAGTTTGAAGAAGAGTATTTGAAATATGGATTTACATCTGTTAATCATAATGTGAGGCTACTGTGATTAGCAAGACATTTAAAAATCTTTTTATTTCATTCTTAGAAATTTTATATTTCTATGTATATTCATGGTATAAAAATCTGAATATAAAATGAATGAAATAATCTTAAAAATAATTATGTAGCTCATATGTTAAATAATTAGGATTCATGGGATATTATTACTAAAGCAATCTTACTTCTTTTTCCCACTGTCCCTTTAAAATTTGTTCAGTATGGGTAGTTTTCCCTTGCAGAATGGCCTCCCTAATCTCTTAGGTGACAGAAAGTTGCCATGTAGCTTTAAGTCTTGATTTAGTAGTTTAAATCTTTTGGTTCAAAGAACAATAAAAATTCCAAACTTGTTGCAATATTAAATCTGCTCCTCTCATCCTCCTGAGACCTGGTGCAGGAGAGAATTTGCAAGAGAGGCTGGGAAGAAAGTCTGATCAATGCTCTGTTCTCCAGTGGGTGATTTTACTCTACTTGCTTACTGAGGTTTCTGATCCCTTAGTATCTGGGACATGGAGATGAAGGAGTGAAAAGGATGCAGGGAATTATTACTCAACTGATACTGTCATATGCATATGTTTAAAATCATCTGAGATCTTTGGAGTCATCACTTCTGGGCCCCATCAGTACAACTTCCTTTGGTAGCCAGTGACTCCCCTAGTCTTTTATCAGGAACCCTCTTGAGCAGGGTCCCCCCGCTTTTTTTTTTTTTTTTTTTGAGATGGAGTCTCACTTTGTCACCAGGCTGGAGTGCAGTGGTGCAATCTAGGCTCACTGCAACCTCTGCCTCCCGGGTTCAAGTGATTCTCCTACCTCAGCCTTCTGAGTAGCTGGGACTACAGGAGCGTGCCACCACACCCAGCTAATTTTTGTATTTTTAGTAGAGACGGGGTTTCACCATGTTGGCCAGGATGGTCTCAATCTCTTGACCTCGTGATCCACCTGCCTTGGCCTCCCAAAGTGCTGAGATTACAGGTGTGAAACACCGTGCCCGGCCCAGCAGGGTCCCTTTTAAAAGGATCCTAGGCTAATATTCCTTTTAAGAGTTGCACATTTGGGCCCTGGGATTTGGGAGCCTTTGATCTGTCTTTGGAAAAAAGGGCACATAATTCTTATATGTGGTTATTTCTTCTTCTGATACCACTTTAGCCAATCTCTCTCTCATACTTTGGATTTATTAGTTGTAAGGCAGACAACAACCTACTGTGTCCCCCTCCTGCAGGAAACACCTCTTAAGCTCTCTGATGGTCTCAGTGACCCTCAAGCCAGAGCTCAGCTGAGCAGCAGAGCAGGCAATGACCCCTCTGTTCTCCCGTGGATAGAGGGTGGTGGGATCATGCTCAACACACAGCACAACTCTTTCCAAAAATCCTCCCCACAAATCCTCCTTAATTTCCAGGAACTTGACATTTTTATTCTGGGTGTGGGTAGGTGTTAGAAATTTTGGCATGTTTGTCCCTCTCACAGCTCATTTTGGTGTCTATTATCTTTCATGTTTTTGTGTAATTACAATGGTCTTATGCTAAAAATTTCTTTCACTTTATCACCTTCTCCAGGGGGAGACAAAAGATGTCACCTTAATTTCTAAGGTTTAAATTC
Organism: Homo sapiens; assembly: GCF_000001405.40. NCBI lineage: Eukaryota > Metazoa > Chordata > Mammalia > Primates > Hominidae > Homo > Homo sapiens. The sequence goes on along the minus strand of NC_000004.12, from coordinate 118,209,893 downwards.
ACTGAGTACTGTTTTTCTACCTGGCTCGTGCCTTAGTCATCACTTAAGAATCTCAAAGGAAAGCTCAATTGCAGAATACTTTGGCAAAGGGTTCTTAACATTTAGAATTTGGGATCTGATAGGCTTTAAAGGAAAGTTGGAAGGGTAAATCAATTGCTCTCAATTAGAGACAGGTTTCAAAGGTACAGTGATGAGGTCAATGTAATTTAAAGCAATTTAGCTTGGAGCAGTTTGTCTTTTTTATAACATTTATGTCTCTCACATAATTTTTCTGGCTATACTTTCAGAACTGCAAGTTCAGCCCTTTTATTACGAGCTAAAGATTGATGATCAATTAACATTTCTGTTAGGTGTCAAAAGTAATTCTATTGGTTTAATGCATTGCTATTACTTTAGCTGCTGAACAAATATTTACATGTCATGAGAACATCTCCAGTTCTCAGATCACCAATTTTCGATTAATTTTGAATTGTGTATCTTGCTCATGCTGTTCTAATGTTCTTTCTGTATTATTCTGAAAGACCCCATTGCAGTTAGTTAGAGGCCAGACAACAGCTGTTCTTCTTCCTTTAGTGTTAGAAAGTGACAGAATAATGAATACAGTTACTTCTTATGATAGATTTAAAAATGATTAATTAATAGACATCCTTTTTTAAGCAGCAGCATAGCACAAAGGTTATATTAATTTTGCAATGAAAACATCTTTATTTTCCAGCAGGAAGCATTTTGCTTCTTTGTTTTAAATCACTCCCTCCACAATATAATAGATATAGGAAGAGCATTAAATTAAACATCTCTAAATGTGTTTAACTTCAAAAACTTTCCAGAAAATTGACCTACATGAAAATTTGATTTTGGCTCATATGTGAATGAATTAAATTTAGGTAATCACAAAGATCAGCTTCACTACTAAGAGGTTTCAATTAACTATATTTGCTCATAAGGCTGAATTCACTCTGGGGGGAGAGGGTTATCAAAATACCAAACAAATATATTTATTTTGTGATTTAAAAATGCTGGGTTTGAAAAAGCTAGTGATTAATTGTTGTTAAGTTTCTAAATATTCAAACATTTACAGTTTTAAAAAATTTATTTATTTTAAGACAGCCCCTCTAATGAAGGGGTTTGTGAAGTGTTGACAAATTTTGAGAGTACTAATTTGGTTCAGAAACCCAGTTCTTTAAGTAGAGAGTAAAGACTCAAAGGACAAAAAGAACAATGCTAAAGAATGAACACTTGCTAAGTATTAACAAAGTCACCCATGAACTGTTCCTTTATTAGAGAGAATATACTAGGGCTTGACTGGGCCTATGCAAGCCACATCTGTTTTGATTGAAATAAGAAATTTTAAGAAGTAAAGTTTGTCACAAAGATAACCTCAGTGAAGTAGTTTTCCCAGGGCTTTGCAGGGATGAGAAGACTGACCCAGATACAAGAGTCAGCTAAGGTACTGTATAAAGACTTAATTAAAAGCAAAATACCTAGAAAGGCATCTCTGCAGAGATGGGGGAAAGACCAGAAATATAAAAAATTTCAAACCTTTATGAGTCAGCACTAGAGGACACCTACTGCCAAAGCTGCTGGCATCTGGAGGGCTGTTTCAGCTGCAGTGAGAATAATACCCTGATAGAAGTTTCTAACTCTGGGGATAAAAGGTGAGAAGTTCATAAAAGACTGTAACTAAACCATGTATCTATTAAAAATTTTGCAGTGGTAGATTCACATTTGGTGTATTATTTTTTGTTATTGCTTTAAATTATAACTCCCTTAAATAACTTATTGATAGATAAATCAATCTATAAGTTAATACTGTTATGTAGTAAAGGGTTATACTTTCTGAAAGTAAATTATCTTAGGAACTAGCTAAATCAGCTTGTTAAAAAGAACTAGGGTTTATAAATGTTTCCTTTCTAAAAATGTTAACCCTTCCACATAATAGTAAGTACCCAGAACTGCACATAAGAGGCACAAGGAGACTTAATGAGGTTATGAAATCTGAACCATAGATTCAATCTTGACTAAATGTCAAAATTTCATACTGACTTAAAGAAAATTTTCTAAAAATCTTTGCTTGAATATTATTATCAGAATCAGGCAAGCCTCGGATATGTTAGAATTTTGAAAGAATTACACGGATTTTAATAAATGGTTTCATTAAACACTAATGTCTAGGGAATATTTCCTGCTGAATAAGAAAATTCACCTTGTTAGGGAAGGTACATGGGTAACTGGTGAGGGAGGAAGAGGGCACTTCCAGCTGTGAAGGCAATTGTCTATACTTGTCTAAATATCTATGCCATTGGAGCTTTAGATAAAACTTTGAAAGAAGTTTTTTGTTTTTACTGTGTCATCACTTGTGTGACTTTGGGTGAAACAATAAATCTCCAAGCATTTTGGTGCCTGTTTGGCAAAATTGGGATGACAATTATATTCTGCAAACATGATTTCTTAAATTTTCTTTCTGCTTAAAGCACGCAAATCTACACTCATCTGCTTCATGCCATAACATGGCATAATACTATTCAATACTAGGCTTTCTACAAATTTCTGTTCTTCTAAGTCCATATTCTTTCTTTATAAATTTTCCCCCACTATCAACTTCTAATAAGTTATCTCTCCAATATTATAGGTACCACTTTGACTTTAGGCCTTATTTCTTTTAATATTTATTTTGGATTCAACAAGAAGCCACAGATATAATTTGTGTGTGTGTGTGTGTGTGTGTGTGTGTGTGTGTGTGTGTGTGTATTCTTCCAGAATTTTCTTTTATTTTTAAAACACAGATGGAAGCAAATGGTACACAATTTAATATATTAATTTTTAAAAATTTAATACATCTTAGAGATTGTTTTAATCAGTACATAAGGGACTTCCCCATTCTTATTATATATATATATGCTGTAATTCTGTTACTGTGAATGTGCTGTAAGTTATTCAAGTTCTTATTAAGGTTTTATGCTATTATGAATAACTTGGTATATGCATCACTTCACTCATTCGAAAATATATCTGAGGATAAATTCTTAGAAGTGGAATGGCTAAGGAAAATGGTATGTGCGTTTGTAATGTTGGTAGAGATTGCCAAGTTGCCTGTCATAGAGATTGTACTGACTTACATTACCACTAGTAATGTGTGAGAGTTAGTCTTTGTTACTTTTTGCTTGAACCACTCTAATAACTTTCTAAATGACCTCCTCACTTTTGTTTCTCCCAGCACTAATATATCCCAAATGCTAACACAGAGAAATCCTCCTAAAACAAAAGTCCTTTGCTTAGGAAATATCAGTAACTCCTATTTTCCATCAAATTAAACTTCTTAACCTGGTGCTCAGAATCCTTGACAAAACAGGCCTATATTCATTCTTGAGTTTTATCTTCTACCACATACACCCTATATTCCAGATAAATTGAATCATTCCTTGTTCTATGCTGTGCTTTAGGCCTGAAACAGTTTCCTCTGTACAGAATGCTTCTCTACATATGTCTTTCAGTCTAAATCCTATCAACTTTCAAGGACCATCTCAAATATTACCCACCTAAAGGTCCAAATAGGTTAGCCTTTAGGCTTATGTTCTTTGTTTTGCTAATTAATAGTGTACACTCAGAATAAATAAATACTTCTATTATAATAACTGGATTTTGGTTTAGATATAATTCAAATCTTCTTCGTTATGTAGTTGCCCAGTTCACAGATGACAGGAAGGAAAGCATGAAAAGGGGATGAATGTGGGTGGGTGTTGGGTGTTGTGGGTGTTGTAGAGGGTAGTGGCAAGAGACACATATCTATTGAAAGCCCAACTTTGGGAGGCCGAGGTGGGCGGATCACGAGGTCAGGAGATCGAGACCATCCTGGCTAACACGGTGAAACCCTGTCTCTACTAAAAATACAAAAAATTAGCTGGGCGTGGTGGCGGGCTTCTGTAATCCCAGCTACTCGGGAGGCTGAGGCAGGAGAAGGGTGTGAACCTGGGAGGCGGAGCTTGCAGTGAGCCGAGATCGCGGCACTGCACTCCAGCCTGGGTGACAGAGCGAGACTCCGTCTCAAAAAAAAAAAAAAAAAAGAAAGCCCGATAGGTGGCCAGTACTGTATATTTGTACTGTCATCACCTATAAGAAGAACCTTATGGAGGTGGATATTATCATCTCCACTTTACAGTCAGACAAGCCATATAACTAGTAAAGAGTTGATCAGGATTTAATCTCAGGTCTATCTGGATGCAAAGCCTAGACTCTCACATTGTACTACATTGACTTATCTGGCAGAGAATAGCAGCAAGAAATGACTAATATCTTGAACTCTGTCTCTAAAGTTGAAGAAATAAACACCTATGAAAAGCTGAACAAGAACATTAGCATCACTAACTGGAACCATCTAATGTAGATACAACTGTCCTATATTCTGTGAGTGTCAATGTATTAGAGCACAATGAGATAAGCAAATTATGGGTGGAATATCCTGATTTAGAGGGCAGGGAAAGGTTTACTGTATATAGGAAGATTTCCATTCTGTTTTTTAAATGATATATAAATAGATAAACTCAATGTATCTAGCATATGAACTCAATGGCAATGTCTATCATTCTGTAAATAGATGATAAATTAGTATAAATATTGTGTATATTCTTGTGTATTTCTCTGTTGTTCTCTTTGAGTATCTATTTGTCTATCTCAAGCCCATCTGCATAAATGAAAATCTTCCCCATTCACAAATGAATTTACTGTCACTATAAAGTGGAAGATAAGGCCTGCTCAACTCTAGAGAAATGTTAGGCACATAGAAAATAGAAGCAATGATAACATTAACAATATTATTATTAAAATGAAAAGAAATTGAACAACATTTAAAAACTCCACAATTAACAGTTTTTTAGAGTTAACATAAAATGAAGTAAAAAGCAACTTTAATATAATAAGCCAATTACTTGTACACAGATATAGAGTGAGTGAATACTAAGAAAATCATGGGTTTGTTGACTCTAATTTCACACTGAAAATGATAAGCAACTATATTTGTGTTAGAATTGCTCTGTTAACTTTCTCTGCTTTCTAAACTAATCAAATTCATTGTTTTTATCTTTAAATATTATTTAATAACCACTTTATTAGAAGTGCCAATATCTTAGAGAATATATATAGATAGATTTATATTTATATTCACAAAGACACATGTGTATATACACATATTCACATGTAATATTGTTAAATCAAGTTTATCCTAAAGTTGCTTCCTTACATACTTTAAGTTTGGCATAAAGATTTCTCTGTACATAGTGAACAGTAACCTCAATGGAAGTTTAAATAGACAGTAACCTACTCTTGTGCCAGTCACCAAGTTTTGGCCAGTCAGAGGCAGCCAACTGTTCAAAACATGTTCAAATAAGGCAAATGTTGAGCTGTAACCAATCTGGCTGTTTGTGTACCTCACTTCCATTTTCTGTATGTCACTTTCCTTTTTGTGACCGTAAATCTTCCACCACGTGGCTGCACTGGAGTCTCTCTGAGCTTACTCTGGCTAAGGAGGCTGCCAGATGCCAGATTCACAGATCATTCTTTGCTCAGTTAAACTCTGTGAAGTTTAATTTGTCTAAGGCTTTTTTTTTTTTTTAAACAGATGGTGTCAGAAGTGGGATCCGAATTAGAGCTTTCAGTGACCCCCAGGAGCATCAAGTGACCAAGCGAGGTACCTGCAGGGCCCATTGTGTCCATTGCTCTTTCACAGCAACTGGGGATGATGGTAAGTTCTCTCTCAGAATTCAAAGCTCCACATATTTGTGTTTTGAGCTTTCTGAGTTTGTTTGAGCAAATTTCTGATCGAAACTAGGTTTGGAAGTCACAAAAAAACTGAATTGGGTCCAGAATCTGATAATTAACTGGCTTGGATCTAGTTACAGGCCTCTTATGTCTGAATGGTTCAGACAGAAACCAGTAGAAAATGGCAATATTTCAGGGGATGCAAACTTTGGTTTTGGAAATTTATAGGGATTTTTGTGTTCTACCTCCTTTGTTTTTCTTGTGTGCTGAGGTAGGAAAAAATTATTGGCTAAGTTGATTAAGAGGATCTGAGAATTAAAGCTAAGATTCAAGATAAAAATGGGATCCTTATTTTCTTAAGAACTGAGTAATGTATCTTCTGATTATGCCCACACTTACATGTGTAAGTATTAGGTTCTGGAAACAGCAAACACTTTTAGAAATAGCAAAATCTTACTAAAGGTAATTTAAAATTACAATGGAACATTCCAAAGAAACAACACTGCACTTGAAGAAGTGCAGTTGAAAATGAGGGCTCACAACCCTATGCACACAAATTAGAAAATCTAGAGGAAGTAGGTAAATTCCTGGAAGGACACAATCTTCCAAGACTGAATCAGGAAGAGATTGAAAACCTGAATAGACCACTATCGACTTCTGAAATTGAATCAGTAATTAAGAACCTACTAACCAAAAAAAGCCCTGGCTCAGATGGATTCACAGCTGAATTCTACCAGACATACAAAGAACTGATACCAATCCTACTGAAATTATTCAAAAAATCAAAGAGGAGGGGTTCCTTTCTAATATATTCTATGAAGCCAGCATCAGCCTGGTACCCAAATCTGGCAGAGACACAATTAATAAAGGAAACTTTAGACCAATATCTCTCATGAATATAGACCTGAAAATCCTCAACAAAATACTAGAAAATCAAATCCAGCAGCATATTGAAAAGTTAGTAAAACATGATCAAGTAAGCTTTATTCCTGGAATGCAAGGCTGGTTCAACATATGCAAATGAATAAATGTGATTCACTACATAAGCAGAATCAAAAGCAAAAATGAAATTATCTTCTCAATAGATGCAGAAAAAGCTTTTGATGAAATCCAACATCCCTTCATGTTAAAAACCCTCAACAGACTAGGCAATGAAGGAACATACTTCAAAATAATAAGAGCCATCTATGACAAACCCACAGCCAACATCATACTAAGTGGACAATAGCTTGAAGCATTCCCTTTGAGAACTGGAACAGAACCAAGATGCACACTCTTACCACTCATGTTCAACACAGTACTGGAAGTCATAGCTGGAACAATCAGGCAAGAGAAAGAAATAAAAGGCATCCAAATAGGAAAGGAAGTCAAACTCTCCCTGTTTGCTGATAACATAATTCTATACCTAGAAAATCCTAAAGACTTTGCCAATAGTCTCCTAGAATAGATAAACACCTTTAGTAAAGTTTCAGGTTACAAAATCATTGTATAAAAATCAGTAGCATTTTCTATATGCCAACAAAGTCCAGGCTGAGAGTGAAATCAAGAACATAATCCCATTTACAATAGCCAAAAGAAAATGAAATATCTAGGAATACAGGTAGCCAAGGAGGTGAAAGATCTCTACAAAGAGAACTACAAAACATTGCAGAAGGAGATCAGAGATGACATAAATGGGGAAACATTCCATGCCGATGAATTGGAAGAATCAGTTTCGTAAAAATGGCCATACTGTCCAAAGCAAGTTAAAGATTCAACACTATTCCTATCAAACTACCAAAGCCATTTTTCACAGAACAAATGATTCTAAAATAAATATGGAACTGAAAAAGAGCCCCAATAGCCAAAGCTATCCTAAGCAAAAGAATGAAGCCAGAGGTATCACATTACCCAACTTCAAGGCTACACTATATAAGGCTACACTACTACTCCTACTACTACACTACTACTATAAGGCTACAGTAACCAAAACAACTTAGTACTGGTACAGAAACAGACAAAGACAAATGGAAGAGAATAGAAAACTCAGAAATAAAGATGCACACCTACCACAATCTGATCTTCAACAAGGCTGAGAAAAACAAGCCATGGGGAAAGCACTTCCCATTCAATAAATGTTGCTGAGATAACTAGTTAGCCGTATGCAGAAGAATGAAACCAGACCCCTACCTTTCACCATATACAAAAATTAACTCAAAATGAATTAAAGATTTCAATGAAGGTCCTCAAACTGTAAAGATCCTGGAAGACAACCTAGGAAATACTTATCTCAAAGTCAGCCTTGGTAAAAAATTTTTAGCTAAGTATGAAAAGCCATTGCAACAACAACAACAACAAGACAAAAAGGATCTAATTAAACTAAAAAGCTTCTGCACAACAAAAGAAACTATGAACAAAGCAAACAGACAACCTGCAGAATGAGAGACGATATCTGCAAACTATGCATCCAACAATGGCCTAGTATCCAGAATCTATAGGGAGCTTGAACAAATCAACAGGCAAAACACCAAATAACTTCATTAAAAAATGGGCAAAGGACATGAACACATACTTCTCAAAAGACGTCATACAAGTCACCAACAAACATGAAAAAATGCTCAGCATCACTAATCATCAGAGAAATGCAAATCAAACTGACAGTGAGATAAAATCTCACACCAGTCAGAATGGCTGTTACTAAAAATCCAAAAAACAACAGATGCTGGTGAAGATGTGGAGAAAAGTGGACACTTATACATTGTTAGTGGGAATTTAAATTAGTTTAGCCACTGTGGAAAGCAATCTGGAGATTTCTCAAAGAACCTAAAACAGGGCTACCATTCATCTCAGCCATACCATTACTAGGTTTACACCCAGAAGAAAATAAATCATTCTACCAAAAAGACACATGCACTTTTCTGTTCATTGTTGCACTATTCACACTAGCAAAGACATGGGATCAACCTAGCTGCCCATCAGTGGTGGATTGAATAAAGAAAATGCTGTATATACACACCACGGAATAGTACACAGTTATAAAAAAATGAAATCATGGCCTTTGCAGCAACATGGATGGAGCTGGAGGCCATAATCCTCAGCAAATTAATGCAGAAACAGAAAATTCAAAACTGCATGTTCTTCCTTCTAATTGGGAGCTAAGCATTGAGAACACATGGACATAAATATTAGAACGATAGACACTGTGGACTACTCGAGCTTGGGAGTGGGTGGGTTGAAAAACTACCTATTGAGTACTATATTATGCTTACTACCAGGGTGAGGGAACCTGTACTCCAAACTTCAGCATCATACAATATTCCTATGTAACAAATCTGTACATGTACCCTGTATTTAAAATAAAAGTTGAAATTAAAAAAAAAGAAAAGAAAATGAAGCTTTCCAAATTACTCTCATCTATGGATGCCTACTGATATGCAGAAGCTTCTAAAGTATTTCAGTATTTTAAATTAAAGACTCCTTATAAAAGGCAAATAAAAATCTTAAATGACTAATAAGAAAAATTAAATCCGCTTATCTTTTTGCTTAGTTACAATACTGTCCCAAAGACAAAAAAGAAAGCTATCCTGGATAAAAAGTTTATATAAGGTAGGCCCTACAGCTGGGTAGAAAACCAAGTAGGCTCTCACGGTACCTGATTTCAGGACTTGGTTTTTAGATGGCATTTCTGGACTTGCCTTAGGCCAGAAGGGACCTCACTGCTCTAAAGGGTGAGTCCCAGGCCAGGCAGCATTCAACACAAGCTGACTGAAGAGCCCTTGAGCCTAAAGGGAACATGGTGGTAGTCTGGCAGTACTCCCTGTGGGCCTGAGGTGGCCGTGGCCATGAGGTGAGGCTCGCTGCATTTGGAAAGGGGAGGGAAGCATGGGAAGCGCTGCGTCTTGTGGTTTGAGTGCCAGCTTAGCCACAGTACAATAGAACACCAGGTAGACTTCTAAGATTTTTGACTCTAGTTTCTGGCTCCTGAATGGCACCTCTGGACCCTCCTGGAGCTTGGGCTTGGAGAAACTCATCACCCTCAAGGGAAGAACATAGGCCTGGCTGGCTCTGTCACCAGCTAATTGCAGATCTTCAGGGCCTTGAATGAACATAGCTGGTAGCCAAAGAGTGGTTACAGCAGGGCTTGGGCAAGACCCAGTGCTCTGCTGGTTTCAGGTCTGACCCAGCACAGTTCTAGGGGTGATGGCTACAGGGGTGCTTGTGTCATTCCACCTCTAGCTCCAGGTGGCTCAGCACAGAGAGAGACTGGGACAAAGTAAAGGAAGAGAACCAGAGTCTCCGGTAATCCAGATAATTCTTCTGGATCTTGTCCAAGACTATCAAGGCAGTACCTCTATGAGTCTGCAAGAATCATAGTGTTACTGGTCTTGGGGGTCCTCTCTAAAGCAGATATAGCTTAGATCATAACACCCAAGTCCTTTTGAATATCTGGAAAGCCTTCCCAGGAAGAATGGGTATAAAGAGCCCAGACTGCAAAGACTACAATAAATACCTAACTCTTCAATGGCCAGACACAAATGAACACCTACAAGTATCCAGACAATCCAGGAAAACATGACTTCAATGAATAAACTAAATAAGGCACCAGAAACCAAGCCTGGAGAAACAGGGATATGTGACCTTTCAGACAGAGAACTCAAAATAGCTGTTTGAGGAAACCCAAAGAAATTCAAGATAACACAGAGAAGAAATTCAGGATTCTATCAGATGAATTTGACAAAGAGATTAAAATAATTAAAAAGGATCATGCAGAAATTCTGGAGTTGAAAAATGCAGCTGGCATGCTGAAGAAATCATCAGACTCGTTCAATAGCAGAGTTGATCAAGCAGAAAAAAGAATCAGCAAGCTTGAAAACAGGCTATTTGAAAATACAGTCAGAGGAGACAAAAGCAAAAAGAATAAAAAACCATGAAGCATGCCTACAGGATCTAGAAAATAGCCTCAAAAGGGCAAATCTAAGAGTTATTGGCTTTAAAGAGTATGTAGAGAAAGAGATATGCATAGAAACTTTATTCAAAGGGATAATAACAGAGAGCTTCCTAAACCTAGAGAAAGATATCAGTATCCAAGTACAAGAAGGTTACAGAACACCAAGCAGATTTCATGCAAAGAAGACTAACTCAAGGCATCTGGTAATTCAACTTGCAAAGGTCAAGGATAAAAAAAGGTTCCAAAAAGCAGCAAGAGAAAAGAAACAAATAATGGAGCTCCAACACATCTAGTGGCAGCCTTTTCAGTGGAAACCTTACAGGCCAAGAGAGAGTGGAATGAAATATTTAAAGTGCTGAAGGGAAGAGAACTTTTATGCTAGAATAGTATATCTGGTGAAAATATCCTTCAAGAATGAAGAAAAAATAAAGACTTTCCTAGACAAAAAAAAAGTTGAGGGATTTCATCAACATCAGACTTTTTTTTTTACAAGAAATGCTAAAGGGAGTACTTTAATAAGAAAGAAAAGGACATTAATGAGCAATAAATAATCACCTGAAGGTACAAAATCCACTAGTAATAGTCTGCAGAAAAACAGAATATTATAGCACTGTAAATGTGGTGTGTAAACTACTGTTATTTAAGGAGAAAGATTAAATGACTTACCAATCAAACATAGTAACTACAACAACTTTTCAAGACATATTACAATAAGATATAAATAGTAACAAAAACTTAAAGCAGGGGCACAAAGTTAATGCAGGAAGTCTTTGTAAATTTTCTTTTTGTTAGTTTGTTTATGCAAACAGTGTTATTATCAGCTTAAAATAATGGGTTATAACGTAGTATTTGCAAGCTTCATGATACCCTCAAATCAAAAAACATACAATGGAGACACAAAAAATAAAAAGCAACTAACTAAATCATATCACCAATGAAAATTACCTTCGCAAAAAGAAAGACATGAAGGAAAGAAAGAAGGAAGAGAAGACCACAAAACAGCCAGAAAACAAATCACAAAATGGCAGGGGTAAGTCCTTACTTATCTATAAATTGAATGTAAATGGACACAGTTCTTCAAAGGACACAGAGTAGCTGAAGGAATAAAAAAACAATGAGGCCAGGTGTGGTGGCTCACGCCTGTAATCCCAGCACTTTGGGAGGCTGAGGTGGGCATATCACTTGGTCAAGAGATCAAGACCATCCTGGCCAACATGGTGAAACCCTGTCTCTACTAAAAATACAAAAATTAGCTGGGCGTGGTGGTGTGTGTCTGTAGTCTCAGCTACTCAGGAGGCTGAGGCAGGAGAATTGCTTGAATCCAGGAGGCGGAGGTTGCAGCAAGCCGAGATCGTGCCACCGTACTCCAGCCTGGTGACAGAGTGAGACTCCATCTCAAAAAAAAAAAAAAAGCCAAAAGCCAAAAAATAAACAAAAAACAAAACAAAACACACCAAAAAACCCCCCAAAAACTGAGACCCAATGATCTGTTGCCCACAAGAAACAGACTTCACCTATAAAACACACATGGAAAATAAAGGGATGGAAAAGATATTCCAAGTCCATGGAAACCAAAAAAGAGCAGAAGCAGCTATATTCATATCAGACAAAATAGATTTCAAGACAAAAACTGTAAGAATAGACAAAGAAGGTCACTATATAATGATAAGGGGTTCAATTCAGCAAGAGGATATAACGATTTTAAATATATATGCACTGAATGCTGGAGCACCTAGATGTATAAAGAAAATATTATTAGAGCTAAAGAGAGAAGTAGACCCCAATATAATAATAGCTGGAGATTTCAACATCCCACTTTCAACACTGCATCAATCTTCTAGACAGAAAATCAACAAAGAAACATCTAATAGATAGTTACAGAACATTTCCTTCAAAGACTGCAGAATACACATTCTTTTCCCCAGCATATAGATTATTCTGAAGGACAGATCATATGTTAGGTCACAAAACAAGTCTTAAAACATTCAAAAAAATGTTAATCATATCAAGCACATTCTCTGACCACAATGGAATAAAACTAGAAATCAATAACAAGAGGAATTTTGAAAACTATACAAACACATGGAAAGTAAACAATATGCCCCTGAACAACCAGTGGGTAAATGAAGAAATTAAGATGGAAATTGAAAAATTTCTTGGAAAAAATGATAATGGAAACACAACATACCATTTTGTTGTATGGAATACAGCAAAAGCAGTACTAATAGGGAAGCTTATAGCTATAAGTGCCTACATTAAAAAAAAAAAAAACTTCAAATAAACAACCTAATGATGCACCTCAAAGAAGTAGAAAAGCAAGAGCAAACCAAATCCAAAATTAGTAGAAGAAAAGGAATAATAAAGATCAGAGCAGAAATAAATCAAATTGAAATGAAGAAGACAATACAAAAGATCAATGAATCGAAAAGTTTTTTTAAAGATAAAGAAAATTGAGAAACTTTTAGCTTGCCTAAGAAAAAAAAAGAAGATCCAAATATGTAAAATCAGAGATGAAAAAGGAGATATTATAACTGATAATGCAGAAATTCATATGATAATTTCTGGCTACTGTGAGCAACTGTATGCCAAAAAATTGGAAAATCTAGAAGAAATGGGCAAATTCCTAGATGCATACAACCTACCAAGATTGAACCATGAAGAAATCCAAAACTTGAACAGACCAATAACAAGTAACATGATTGAAGTTGTAATTAAAAATCTCCCTGTAAATAAAAGCCCAGGACCCAATGACTTCAATACTGAATTATGCTAAACATTTAAAAAATAACTAATAGCAATCCTACTGAAACAATTCTGAAAAAATAGAGGAGGAGGGACTACTTCCCAGCACATACTATGAAGCCAGTATTACTCTGATACCAAAACCAGACATAGACACATCAAAAAAAGAAAACTACAGGCCAGTATCTCTGATGAATCTTGATGCAAAAGGCCTCAACAAGGTATTAGCAAACCAAATTCACTAATATGGTAAAAAAGGTCATTCATCATGACCAAGTGGGATTTATCTCTGGCTTGCAAGGATGTTCCAACATACACAAATCAATCAATGTGATACATCATATCAGTAGAATGATGGACAAATCCGTATGATCATGTCAGTAGATGTTAAAAAAGCATTTGATACAATTCAACATCCCTTCATGAAAAACCCTCAAAAAACTGCGTATAGAAGGAGCATACCTTAACATAATTAAAACCATATGTGACAGACCCATAGCTAAAACCATACTGAATGGGGAAAACCTGAAAACCTTCCCTCTCCCATCTGGATCATGACAAGGATGCCCACTTTCACCACTGTTATTCAACATAGTACTAGAAGTCCTAGCTACAGCAATCAGACAAGAGGAAGAAATAAAGGGCATCCAACTGGAAAGGAAGAAGTCACGTTATCCTTGTTTGCAGATGGTATCTTATATTTGGGAAAACCCAAAGACGCCACCAAAAAACTATTAGAACTGATAAATTTTGTAAAGTTGCAGGATACAAAACCAACATACAAAAATCAGTAGCATTTGTATATGCTAATAGTGAACAGTGTGAAAAAGAAATCAAGAAAGTAATCCTAATTATAATAGCCACAAATAAAATTAGATATGTAGCATATTAGTCTGTTCTCATGCAGCTAATAAAGTCATACCCCAGACTGGGTAAATTATAAAGGAAAAAGGTTTAATGGACATACAGTTCCACAAGGCTGGGAAGGCCTCACAATCATGGCAGAAGGCAAAGAAGAAGCAAAGGCATGTCTTACATGGTGGCAGGCAAGAGAGCTTGTACAGGGGAACTCCCATTTATAAAACTATTAGATCCCATGAGACTTATTCACTACCATGAGAACAGTATGGGGGAACTGCCCCCATTATACAATTATCTCCACCTGGCCCCACCCTTGACAAGTGGAGACTATTACAATTCAAGGTGAGATTTGGGTAGGGACACAGCCAAACCATATCACCTAGGATTTAACCAAAGAAATGATCTCTACAATGAAAACTATAAAACACTGATAAAAGAGATTGAAGAGGACACCAAAAAAGAGAAATACATTCCATGTTCATGGATGGGAAGAATCAATTTTGTTAAAATGTCAATATCACCCAAAGCAATCTACATATTCATTGCAGTCCCTTTCAAAATACCAATGACATTCTTCACAGAAATATTAATAATAAAAAACTATCCTAAAATTTACATGGTACAACAAAAGATCCAGAATAGTCAAAGCTATCCTGAGCAAAAAGAACAAAACTGGAGAGAATCACATTACCTGACTTCAAATCATACTACAGACTGGCAGAGGTGCTCCAGCCTCCATGTGGTCCGCAGTCAGCACCACAGCACCTGGCCTCCTGCACACCCTGAAGGTAGCACCCCTGCCTTTGGCTCAGAGTATGCTGGTGCCGGTGCCAGCTCCCAGAAAGGGTGCGCTGCGTGGAGATGACAGTTGAGGAGATGAAGGAGACTGAGAATGGGACACAGTTGGCGCCTCTTCCCATGGAGGGAGTGGACATTCGCCCAAACAGGAGGAAGGCATGCTGAAGGTCATCGAGAGAGGGCACAGGTACAGAGATGCCCATGATTGGGGACTGAATCTTTGTCCACTACACTGGCTGGCTGTTAGATGGCACAAACTTTGACCCCAGTCTGGATCACAAGGACAAATTCTCCTTTGACCTGGGAAAAGGGGAGG
Source organism: Homo sapiens (assembly GCF_000001405.40). Lineage (NCBI taxonomy): Eukaryota > Metazoa > Chordata > Mammalia > Primates > Hominidae > Homo > Homo sapiens. Next base: position 118,194,498 of record NC_000004.12, on the reverse strand, counting down.
TCAACAAGGCTTGGGACATTGCCATAGCAGCCATGAAGGCAGGGGAGGTGTGCCATATCACCTGCAAACCAGAATATGCCTTCGGTGCAGCAGGCAGTCCTCCAAAGATCTCCCCAATGCCACACTCGTGTTTGAGGTGGAGTTGTTTGAGTTTAAGGGAGAAGATCTGACGGAAGAAGAAGATGGCGGAATCATCTACAGAATTACAGACTTGCGGTGAAGGCTATCCCAGGCCCAATGAGGGTGCTATCATGGAGATTGCACTGGAAGGGTGCTACAAGGACTAGTTCTTTGAACATCAGGAGAATCTGGATCTGCCTTATGGTCTGGAGAGGGCCATTCAGTGCATGTAGAAAGGAGAACATTCCATTGTGTACCTCAAACCCAGCTATGCTTTTGGCAGTGTTAGGAAGGAAAAGTTCCAAATCCCACCAAATGCCTAGCTGAAATATGAATTACACCTCAAGAGTTTTGAAAAGACCAAGGAGTCTTGGGAGATGAATTCAGAAGAGAAGCTGGAGCAGAGCACCACAGTGAAAGAGTGGGACACTGTGTACTTCAAGGAAGGCAAATACAAGCAAGCTTTACTATAATATAAGAGGATTGTGTCCTGGGTAGAATATGAGTCTAGTTTTTCCAATGAGGAAACACAGAAGGCACAGGCCCTTCAACTGGCCTCTTACCTCAACCTGGCCATGTGTCATCTGAAACTACAGGCCTTCTCTGCTGCCACTGAAAGCTGTAACAAGGCCCTGGAACTGGGCAGCAACAACGAGAAGGGCCTCTTCCATTGGGGAGAGGCCCACCTGGCTGTGAATGACTTTGAACTGGCACAGGCTGACTTCCAGAAGGTCTTGCAGCTCTACCCCAACAACGAAGCCGCCAAGGCCCAGCTGGCTGTGTGCCAGCAGCAGATCTGCAGGCAGCTTGCCTGGGAGAAGACGCTCTACGCCAACACGTTTGAGAGGCTGGCTGAGGAAGAGAACAAGGCCAAGGCAGAGGCTTCCTCAGGAGACAATCTCACTGACACAGAGATGGAGGAGCAGAAGAGCAACACCACAGAGAGCCAGTCTCAAGTGGAGACAGAAGCATAGCCCCTCTCCACCAGCCCTACTCCTGTGGCTGCCTGCCCCCCGTCTCCCTACTCTGCCCTGTTAGTTTTGTAAAAACTGAAGAATTTTGAGTGAATTAGACCTTTATTTTTCTATCTGGTTGGATGGTGGCTTTAGGGGGAAGGGGGAAAGGAGTAGGCTGGGAGATTGAGGTGGGGAATCATTTTAGGTGGTGTCACCCCCTCTTCCCTTCCCCCATTGCACATGAACATATGTCCATCCATACATGCTCATTAGAGTGTTAATTTATTTTGCTCCTTCTGTTTGTTAGGTCCATTTTCCAGGGGTAGAAGAGGCAAGTGGTAGGGATGGGGTCTGATATGAACCCAGGGTGGAGAAGGAGACTCCTGGGCAGCTGTTTTCCTCATCCTTTCCCTCTCCCAGTCCATTTCCAAATGTGGCCTCCATGTGGGTGTTAGGGACATGGGAAGAAACACCATTTCTTCTCTGTTCCCTTCCTCACCCCAGATGGCATGGCTGATGCTGTCTCCTGGTGTCATGGTGACCACCCCCTGTCCCCCGTTCTGGTATTTCCCCTGTCAGTTTTCCCTCTCAGCCAGGTTGTGTCCCCAAACCCCCTCAGCCTCTTCTTTGCATGTTGATGAAGGTCCAGGCTTGCCTGAAGTTCCATGCTAGAGCAATAAAGTGGAAACAATAAAAACAAAAAAAAAAACCCACAAAAAACAAATTATACTACAGATCTGTAGTAACCAAAACAGCATGTTGTTGGCATTAAAACAGACAAATACATCAATGAAACAGAATAGAGAACCCAGAAACAAATTCATACACCTACAGTAAACTCATTTTTGACAAAGGTGTCAAGAACATACACTGGGGAAAAGACAATCTCTTCAATAAATAGTGCTGGAAAAACTGGATATCCATATGCAGAAGAATGAAACTAGATGCCTATCTCTCGCCACATAAAAAAATCAAATCAAAATGGATTAAAGACTTAAACCTGAGACCTCAAACTGTGAAACTACTACAAGAAAACATTGGGGAACTCTCTAAGACATTGATCTGGGCAAAATTTCTTGAGTAATACCCCACAAGCACAGGCAACCAACCAAAAATAGACAAATGGGATCACATTAAGCTAAAAAGCTTCTGCACAGTGAAGGAAACAATCAACAAAGTGAAGAGACTACCCACAGAATGGGAGAAAATATTTGTAAACTCCCCATCTGACAAGGGATTAATAAGCGGAATGTATAAGTAGCTCAAACAGCACTGTAGGAAAAAATATAATAATTTGATAAAAAATGTGCAAAGGATTTGAAAAGACATTTCTCAAAGGAAGGTATAGAAACAGCAAATAGGCATATGAAAAAGTGCTCAACATCATTGATCATCAGAGAAGTGCAAATCAAAACTACAGTGAGATATTATCTGACCCTAGTTAAAATGGCTTATATCCAAAAGACAGTCAATAATAAATGCTGGTGAGGAATTGGAGAAAAGAGAACCCTCATACATTATTGGTGGGAATGTAAATTAGTACAACTACTGTGGAGAACAGTTTGGAGATTCCTCAGAAAACTTAAAATAGGCTTACCGTATGATTCAGCAATCCTACTATCAAACTAGTATTTGATAGTACAGCAAGGTGACAATAGTCAATAATATTTTAATTGTATGTTTTTAAATTACTAAAAGAGCATAATTGAATTGTTTTTTACACAAATGCTTGAGGGGATGCAATTCCCATTTTCCATTATGTAATTATTACACATTGCATTCCTGTTTCAATACATCTCATGTACCCCATATACACCTACTATATACCCACAAAAATTAAGTAGGCCCTTGGGAAAAGTAGCCTTGCTTTTTCAGACCCATCCATGCTGAGTCCAGGCCTAGAGAATGCTTTCTTTGCTCTATTCCTTAATGGACTCCATCCTGAACTCAGTAATTTTAGCTAAGAAACAATAGCTAAGTTTAAAAGATCACCACCTATCAAACTGGAATACACCTTTCTGGAATTTAACTGGCTTTCCTGAAACCCTTTTGTAAAAGAAATTCACACCTATAAAGGAAATCTCCATTTGTAAGATGTCTGCCTATGTACATTAGAAACTCTTCCCATTGTTTTAATTTGCACAAGTCATATATCTGTTTAAGGTGCTTTTCTGGCCGTCTTATCTAACTTAACTTTTACTTACACCACTTTCCCCTTGGTTTGAGCAAATGGTACTGTATTTAGGCCTAAAGTGTTAGCTCTGTGCTTTTGAAATAGAAATTTTCTTGCTTCACCTAAGAGTTTTCCCTTTAGAAATGCAAATTTGTTGCCTAGTTAACAATGGCTTAGGGTGACAAAATAGGTAATTGGAAGATTGATAGGCTGAATGGGGAAAAGAAAAACTCTTTAAAAACTGGCAAATGAGAATCCTTTAAGAAAGGTATAAAATCTGCTTCTGTCTGTGTGTTTGTAGGTCTATATGTATTATGCGTATGTGATAATATTTGATAAATAAAACTTGTTTTAAAATTCTTGGTAAAATAGGAATGACTTCAAAATACAATTGAATATAATTTGATACTTGCTTGATTTGACTGTGGAGCTTATGTTTTGGTTCAGAGCCTCTGGGTTTGGGGGTCTGCATAGGTGGCCATGGTGAGGTCTGGAGACATGTTTTCAGTGCCTAGACCAGCAACTATGCAGCAAAGTCAAACCCAATATGGCCCTTTCTTCCCTGCCCCAGCTTTGCCTCCTGGTTACTTCGGGAGTGGTTAGATTCTCCAGGTATAGTCTTCACAGCTCTGTCTTCTGTCCTGACCTCTATACCTGGTATGCAAATTCAGGACTCAGACAGGCCCTACCCTTCATAGTCCTCCTGGATGCCACATGGCTACTTGGGACCCAAGATGACTGGGGAAGACATTAGGGAAGGTACCTGTGTCATAGTTTCAAAATTTATTTCAGTCATTTCAAATCTTACATACTATGCTAAATTAATTAACACATAGACATAAAATATCTGAATCATTTGTAAGTTAAAAACTGAAATATTACTTATTAAACATGAGTTTAATTCTATATACCTTGACTTTTTTTATATTGTACAGAAAAGCTAAATATATTTAGGTCTGTTAAAAAACAATAACTTGAACCATCTTTTGAAAAAAATTATAAAATGGTTTTTATTTGTAAATACTGATATAAAACAGTTCAAAATTACTTTCAGAGTTTTCACTATAAATTAGGGTTCTAATAGTTAAATTAGAGTTTATATATAATTATATTACTACTACTAGATATGAAACAATTCTGTATACAGAATGTATAAACAAAAGCAAGATATGCTTTTGATGAGGAAACTAATAAAGACATAAAATGTGTATTTAAAATTTTTTTTATCTAGTTTGAAGTTATTTAAACATTTCAAATTGAAGGACTAAAAAATAGGCAAAATTACATAAACCTAGGAAGTTGGGGAAAAATGTAAAACATAAAAGACCTATGGAAATCTTGTGTGGTCGAAAGATGACAAATTTCATAGATTTAGTTATAAGTTTTATTACAATTAGCTTTAGCATTGATAATACAGTAATCTAAAAATAAAATTTGGTTTTCTCTTTTGAGGAAAATTTCAATGGAGTATTAATAAATGACAGTAAAATATCTTTGTTCGCCTTTGAGTAAACTATAAAAAATAGAAGAGAGGAGAGACATTCTGTCTCAGGCTATCTTTCTTAGGTCGTTTGGTTGGAAAACTGAGTCTCCTCTATCAAAGAGTAAAGGTTTTGGTTTTAAAAAATCTTTTAATTATTACATTGGCTAAAAAAATGACTATTATTTTATGGTTACTTATAATCATATTTGTGTTAAGTATTTTAAACCTTTGACATATTTGACAGGCTTCCCCAAATCAAATTTCAGCTTCAGTATTGTGTTTTTTGACCTTCAATTTTGGGATGCTACAGAGGGCTCCTGAAACATCCAAAAAAGACATAAATAGGATTATTTGACATGTTGAATTACATGGGAAGCAGTGACAAATAAGAAATGTTTAACTTTCTTCAAGTTATTGGCTGGATGCTGTGGCTCATGCCTGTAATCCCAGCACTTTGAGAGGCTGAGACAGGCAGAGCACCTGAGCTCAGGAGTTCAAGACCAGCCTGGGCAACATGGGCAAACCCCATCTCTACTAAAAATACAAAAACTTAGCCAGGCATGCTGGCGTGTACCTGTGGTCCCAGCTACTTGGGAAGCTGGGGTGGGAGGGTCACTTGAGCCTGGGATGCAGAGGTTGCAGTGAGCCAAGATTGTGGCACTGCACTCTAGTCTGGGTAACAGAGTGAGACTTATCTCAAAAAAAAGTTATATTTTAATGAATATATTATTAATATATGTTCTAAAATTATATCAGATTTCTAAAATTCTAATATATCTCAGTATATGCTACACAGTTATGGTTATTATGTGAAGTTATTTTATAGGTCAAAGAAATAACCAAATTTCCTTGTCAATTGTCTTTAACTATGACCATTTAAAGTCATTTCTACAGTTAATTGCTTAATTCTGATGCAGTTTTTGAAAACTTCACAAGCACATAGAATCTTAGGGTACTGTGTTTTTAAGGAGGTTCATGAAAGGATTCAAAGCACCCTGGTAAGCACTCTTGGATATAGGTTTGTGATAACTTTTGGATCATATTATGAAGCCTGGATAAGAATTCCCAGAAATCTAATGAGAAACTGACTGGTTTTTAAAACTGCTAACCCAAGCAAGACAAAAATTAATTGAATATCAAGAAAATACTTTCTCAGATTTTCATGCTAAATCAGCCACTACTGTTTAGATATGCAATTTGAATAAACTCCATGGTGCAAGTCAAATTATCTGCGATAGCCTATTAGTTATCAGTGCTCTGCACCTAAATCGGAGAAACAACTGGATTTAAGAGGACATAAGTCCAATGTTAAATGTGGACTCAGGGAGAACTTAGATGGCTGCTTTGTCTTTTCTGAGTCTTTAAAGTTTTCATTATTAAAAGCTGTACAATCCATGATTCATCATGGAAATGATAAAGGAATCCAAATTAATATATAAATTATTAATATATTATATATTAATAATATATAATAAATATATCATATATTAATGATATTTATAGGTGGTGTAACTGTCCTAAATTGCTAAAATAGTTTATGATCAATGTTTGGTTTGTTAAACCCATATTCCTAGGAAGATAATCTAAACTTCAGGTACATTTCTGTTACCTGATGGGCCATTTAAACATTTATAGAGGGATTTCATTCAATTTTCATTTTCAATGTATGTTTTCTGGTTGTATAAAAGCTTTCCTAGGCAAGAGGGCTGATGTTGTAACAGTAGCTCATTAGGCCAAAGTGTATTTTCACCAGTTAAAGAAAGCTTTTTATGGTCCACTGACTGAGGACAATCAACCCCTTAATAATCTAGAATATGAAGACTGGGTCTTCTGGGAGCAACATCAGAGAAAGATTGCTCTTGCCATCCACACTGCAGCAAAACTTTGGGAACTTGAGTCTTGGCTTCATAATCTCACAACTGAGAAGGGTCATTCCACAGTCTTGGAAATGTATGCCCATTGGAACTCTTAAGGTAAAGCTAACCAGGGAGGTTTCTCCCCAAGAAGATGGCATCATTGATGTGGATGGCTTTTTCCCAAGATCATGGATCAAGAATTGTCTGCTGTTATGAAACTCTTAATCTCTCATTTTTTCTTGCTTATGTCTCTAACAACAATAGAGCTAAAAAGGGGGTCTCTTATGTGCCCTCTTGGGGTATACTTTTATTTGTGGAAGATTTCGCAGCCAAACTTCCACATGGACAACCTTATGCCTTGAGAGATGAAAGATGAAGGACCAATACGAACAACAAATGTTAGCCTTGTTCCTTCATAGTCAATCAAAAACAGAACATTGGTCCACTCCTCTTAAGGTACATCATGGATTAAAGAAAACCTTTACAGGAGATCTTCTCTCTTTTGGATGGATATCATTTGTTAGATCGCTCTTTCTGTGGTTGGGAGTAGATGAGGCAATGATTAGAAATTTATCCCTCATGATAGGCTCTGTAGCAGATTCTACTGCAAAAGCTCTGGCTACACAACAGACTTAAAATTCTCTTGTGAAAGTTATGCTAAATAATTGAATTGCTCTAGATTACTTGCTGGCTAAACAGAAGTATCTGTATAGTTGCTGGTACTTCTAGTTGTACGTGAAGGAATACATTGGGTATTATAGAGATTCATTTCTAGGGGATTAATGAACAGGCTACCTGGTTGAAATGAGTAGACTCTTTGTCTAGCTAATTCTTTGATCTATTTAATTGTAGTTGGATTGGTTCATGGGGACTCTGGCTAAAAAGCATACTCCAAACTCTTGGTATTATCCTCCTCATGGTCATAATAGTAGTCTCCCTCATGTGCTGTTTTCTTTAAAAAGTTTTGAATGTTTGCATGCAGCCATCTCAAGAATGTCAAATGGTCTCTCCTGAACTGTAATGACAAAAGCTTAAAGAAATGTGTGACCATGAGGACATGATGACTTATGAATGATGTGCTGAAACTAGAAACCCAAAATGATGGTAACTGAAGTGGCACTAAGGCCCTAAGTTTTGTCACACCGTTACCTAAGTGAGAATGTGATGGTTAATACTGAGTGTCAACTTGACTGGATTGAAGGATGCAAAGTATTGATCCTGGGTGTGTCTGTGAAGGTGTTGCCAAAGGAGATTAACATTTAAGTCAGTGGGCTGGGAAAGGCAGACCCACTTTAATCTGAGTGGGCACAATCTAATCAGCTGCCAATGTGATCAGAATAAAAGCAGGCAGAACAACGTGGAGAGATCAGACTGGCTTAGCCTCTCAGCCTACATTTTTTTCTGTGCTGGACGCCTCCTGTCCTCGAACATTAGACTCCAAGTCCTTCAGCTTTGGGACTCAAACTGGCTTCCTTGCTCCTTGGCTTGCAGACGGCCTATTGTGAGACCTTGTGATCGTGTGCATTAATACTGCTTAATAAACTTCCCTTTTTATATGCATCTATCTTATTAGTTCTGTCCCTCTAGAGAACTCTGACTAATACAGAGAAGTTAATCAAAATGGAGGAATTTTTTTAAAGAAAATTATGGGAGCCATTGTTTTAGACTGAGTTTGTACAGTAGGCCCCAGCAGACCAGACCAAACTAAAATGGAGTCACTCATGCTAAATATGACACAATCAAACTGAAACTTTAAGGAAGTAGATAGGTCCTAAAACAGACCAGATTTTGTTTTTCTCCTGTAAGCAGAAGATTCCAAAACAAGGAGGTACCCTCTCCTCTGACCGTTACCCAAAAAATAACCTGAAGTGCTTGTTTCTACTTTATAAAACCCACTGTTTTCCCACTGGGTTTCAAGACCAAATAAGTAAAATTATGATGGTAATAGTGACATCAATGACTAAAGTTTTGGTCATCCTCTTAATTTTAGAGGGGAAATTGTTAAGTTTAGCATAAAGCATATGCCTCCTTACATACTTTAAGTGCAGCCTAAAGGGTTCTCTATACATAGTGAACTATAATGTAAATGGAGATGTAAATAAATAAACCCATTCTTGTGTCAATCACTGAGTTTTGGCCAATGAAAGGTAGCCAACTATTCAAGCCATGTCCAAATTAGGCAAATGCTGAACTGTAACCAACCAATCTGGCTGTTTCTGTACCCCACTTCCATGTTCTGTACATCACTTTCCTTTTTCTGTCCATAAATCTTCAACCATGTGGCTGCACTGGAATCTCTCTGAATGTACCCTGGCTCAAGAGGCTGCCTGATTTGCAAATTGTTCTTTGCTCAATTAAACTGTTAAATTTAATTTGTCTAAGGTTTTTCTTTTAATGATATCTACATATATCATATGTATGTTATAAAATTAATATATATAATTTATAATAAATGTATAATATACATATTATTAGATACCACTTTATCTTATACTTATTGGCTTTAATTTACAAGCATTTATCATCACAAATTTTATTACACCAGTGCATTTGATTTCCTGTTAAAGTGAACTAAATTTGGTAAGCTTCCCTTATGTTCATAAATAATTTAAATGCATAGACAATTAAAAATGTGTTTAGTTTGTATATACACACAGCATGAAGTAAAATGCTTTCTTCCATATTAAATAATTAATGGTAACATATATCAAATATTTCTTTGAAATTCAATATACATTTAAAAAATGTACAGTAGCATATGTACCCATCATTTCAATTATATTTTAACATTCTTTGATGTTATTAAACAGCTATTCCCTGTTACATGTCTCTTTAGCATTGGTGTCTCTTAACGAAATATAAGAAACTAATAGGATATGTTGTACAAAAATTTAGTGACTCATATTTATTATCCTTAAATTAAAGTAGAAAGTCTTATTCATTTGTGCCTCAATTTATTTGCCAGTTGAGTAGGAATGCAGAAATAAAAGGTAAGTAATAAAGAAAAAGCCACTTCATGGAAAATGGAAAGGCCTGGAGATAGTTTGTAATTATGCAGCTTTCATAGTCAGAGGGCACATGTGAAAATGCAGACCACAAACATGCTTACAGCAAGTAAGTACATAGTACAGAGTATTCCTTTGATGCATAGAATGAAAGCACATTTCTACTAATAAATTATGTATACTTAATATTGCATATTGTTATACAATATTAAAAATGTCTTAGGGTTCTCTAGAGAAACAGAACCAACAGAGACAGAGAATATGTGTGTGTGTGTGTGTGTGTGTGTGTGTGTGTGTGTGTGTAGAGAGAGAGAGAGAGACAAAGGGAGACAGAGAGAAAATGAGAGACAGACAGACAGAGATTTATTTTGAGGAATTGGCTTGTGACTATAGAGACTTGGTAAGCCCCAGATTTGCAGGGCTGGAGACACAGAGAAGAGTTGCAGTTTGAGTCCAAGCACAATCTGCTGGGAGAATTTCCTCTTCTGGGGAGGTCAGTCTTTTTCTATTAAGGCTTTTAAGTATTTGGATGAGGCCCACCCACATTATGGAGGGTAATCTGCTTTACTCATAGGCTACTGATTTAAATGTTATCTCATCTAAAGAAATACCTGCACAGAAACACCTAGAATAATATTTGAACAAATATCTGAGTACCATGGCCTTACCAAACTGACACGTAAGATTAACCATGGCAGAGGATGAATACTTTTTAAAGAAATGATTTCATTTTGTTCTTCAGTGCCATGTGCAATGAAATGATTCTTTAAACTGTTTTGTCAACTTCATTCTCCTTACATCTAGTTTTTTGACATTATTTTGCTAGGTAAGAAGAGGAGAGAGAAGTGAGACTCTGTAAAACTAAAATTGGAACAGGAGTTCTGTGAGTGAGGGGTGGCCTGAGCCACCCTTCTAGCACCGTGAGTAAGTGGTAGGACTTTGCATTTGAGTGAGTGCCCCGTGGTACATCTGTGCAGGCTACAGCCAAGATTTCTGGGTTTCCAAACTTAGTCAAGGTGCCCTTTTCCCAGCCTGACGCACATAGAAGCCACAGATCTGCTGGCCCTTCTGCAGTCATGCAGGCTTAGCCAATTTACGATTAAGAGGATGTAAATATGCAACATATGTAAATATGTTTTAGACTGAGTTTTCATCCGAGGCCAGAAGACAATAGCAATTATCCTAAATTCCAGAGTGAGATCCTGAACCACTTGTCTTGCAAGGGAGGTGGTAAAAAACCTTTGGTCATTCATCCACTTGAAGATTGTTGTGTAATGGAGAATTTGATTAGTGTTTGTCTCTAGTTCTTGAGAGGAAAACTAGTTCTCTGAAATTTCCCAAATGATAGGAGTTCTTTGTTATTCATGGTGGGTCCAGATAGCTTATACTAGTGAGATGATTCATGGTGGGGCCCTAGATAGCTTATACTAATGAAATGATTTGGGATGGGGATAGGCCCTGCCAGAAAGACCGACCATTTGATTAGACTGGTGGAGCTTTGAATCAAATGATATCACCAGTATCCTTGAATCCTCAGAAGGATGAGAAAGAAGAGAAGGGCTGGAAACCGAGCTCAATCATGTGCCCAGTGATTTAGTCAATTATTCCTATAGTTCTGGTGCCCAATGTGGGGCAGCTGGGACACTTGACTTGCTCCAGAGCCTGCAGATGAGATTCTGGAACAACAGATGAAAAGCCAGCAAAGAAATGGTAAACATTGTTTTCCAAGGACAGCCCTCCTGGATCTCTGCCTGTAGTGTCGTCTGGTGGAGAATGGAAGGTAAAATTTTCTCATCTCTTCTTTCCAAAATTCAGGTTAGCAGGAGAAAATCATCCGTATGTACGAGTTGCTGGGTATAGTGAATCTGGTGATTGTTTGTTTGTTTGTTTGGTATGAGTAGTCTTATTTTCTGATCCCTTCCCTTGCAGAGATGCTGCCTTGTTTTCTGTTGTCTGTCTTTTGTATTGTTTATCATAAACAGCAGAATCACAGGGCAAGGAGCACAGGCATAGGCTTTCTAAGGTTGTTGCTCAAACTGGCCTGACAGGCTGGTGGATTTGTAGTTCTTACCAGACTTCTGTTTAGTTAAACTAACTTTGCTGTAGGTAACTGAGTCAAAAACTGGATGAGATTCTCCTTTTGTCTTATATCCTGAGATTCTCTTTTGTTTTATATCCTGAGATCTTGGCTTTGTGACCATTGAAGACATTCTCTCTGTTCCATTTTAGGAAAGTGCAAAGTGTTGGCTTGTGTCAGGCAGCCAGCTGAATGGCCTAGAACCCAGAGGTTTCCTTTGATCATTTCAATTCTCAGGGGAGTTTGTCTTATAAGAAGTCCTTGTCCTCATTGCTTGGTTAGTAAAGGGAAACTCCCATCCCAGTATCATTTGCCTGTTGTCACAGATTACTGTATTTGTGACTGGAGGCATCCCAGATTTTTTGTGGGAGACTGGAGATACCATTTACATAAATACTGTCATTACTACCTGTGGCAATGGAAGTCTTTGCTGTCTTAGTCTCTGGAATTGAACTTTCCATAGTATTATTGGTTTGAGTCACTATACGAAAAATGTTTGAATTGTGCCTTTTGGTCTTGGGGTACCAATTTGTTACTAATCCTTCCCTCCCATGAACAGCTTTTGTTTTCCTGTTTGTTTCAATTCGTGTCCCGAGAACTTGGCTTGGCTTCCTGCCTGTCAGGGCATGCATTTTATTGGGCCTGCTTCCATGATGAACCAACTGAAAAGTGGTCTGGCCCCCAAAATATGGCCAGACAAAAATGTGGCTTGAACCCCATGTGTAGCTAGCATACCTACTATTGCCAGCTCTCAAAGCATTGTCTGAATCTTTTTCTCTTTTGGCTGTCTTTGGGAAGTGGCTCTGGACCTTGAGAGGGCTGCATTTTTGCACCTCTGCAGAGATGACTTGTGAATCCTTGGTTAAATCATAAAAGGCTTATTAATTTTTGTCCTGAGTCACCTATTAGGTATACCTTTGGTTTAAAATTTTGGTTTATTTTATTTGTTGAATCCCTTAAATGAGTTTCAAATTGCCTTATAGATAAATGGACACTCATATTAACTAAATATACCTAAAACTGCTGAAAATATAGTAACAAACCCAAATGTTTTTCACTTTCATGTGACTTAGGTGAATCTCTGGTAAATAAGATTAGTTCAATATTGTTGGCTTAATGGGAGAAAATAGAGCCAAGAATATTTGCTGTTTGTCCCAGCCGAAATCTGATAATTTTTGAAAAGATATTTAAAAGAGCTCTATGGTCAGAAGTGAGCTTAATTGGAAGTTGATATTCAGGGTATAATTTATTTAAGGCCTCTCTGGTCTCTGTATTGGATCTTGCTTCTCCCATGGGAGCTTCTCAGTTAATTGAAGCTTCTCAAACTCATGCTAACTAAATGCTCAGCCCTTCTGTTTGCTTCCTTTCTTGTCGGCATTATTTTTGCTGAAGATAATGTGGAACTTCCCTGGCCTTTTTGGAAAACAAGATCTCAAACTGGCTCCTCTCAGATCTGTTCTTTCCATTTCCTGCTCCTCCTTCTTCCTTTTAACCATCGTTTATCTTCCATCCAGTTTCCTTGCATTCTTGATACGTTTCTCTTCTAGCCCCTACCTCCTTCATTTGGTGGTCAGGAGATGGGAAATTACTAAGAGGGAATAGAGTTCTCGTGGCTACCTGAAGAGACCTAAAGGAGACTTCTGGTGACTCTGATACCCTTTGAGGAACAACACAGGGAAGGTGCCACTGATTTCTTTTTTGGAGTACTCTGTCTTCCTCATGGAGCCCTGAGAATCGTGAGTAGGTTCCCCTCAAGTCTGAAGCTTTGCTCTCCTTTACATTGAGATATCTGATTTCTTTGGCATTTTGGGTACCAAGGATTAGTTTGTGCTATGAGGTGGCACTTTGCCTGATGAGTCATTGGCAAGAGCTGTAGTTTTAAAGGTAACTGACAGTGGTTACAGTAAATGGTTATTACTGCAGGGGACACAAACTCTGGCTGTTGGAATTCACAGGTATTTCGTTTCTTTCCTCTTTTTCCTGTGTGGTTAGGTGAGGGCACTTAGGAGATATTAGAGTGTTCATCACTGAAAAATAAGATGACTGTAAAAGTATAAGCTGGTCAAGAAATGGGCTACTTGACCTTAGGTCACCCACCAGCCTCTAGAAAATGTCTGTACAACTAGGTACACTGTAGATGCACTACATGACCCAATCCTGTGGTGCTTTCTTCTTAGGCTTTTATCTAGGCTCTGAGAAGACTCAAGATTAAACCAAAGCTAAATTGAAAAGTCACCTATCTAACCAAATTTGTCTCCAAACTGTTACTTCCTGGCATTTAGTGGGTTATTTTGAACAGGCTACTGAATTGTCTCCTAAGTTGATCTGTGTACTTCTTTGTACCACTCAAAGAGGGACACCACAGAATATTACACAGCCATGGAAAGCAATGAAATCATATCCTTTGCAGCAACATAGATGCAGCTGGAGGCTATTATCCTACGTGAATTAATGCAGGAACAAAAAACCAAATACCACATATTCTCACTTATAAGTGGAAGCTAAACGTTGGATACTCATGGTCATAAAGATGGCAGCAGTAGACACTGGGGACTGCCAGAGAGGGGAGGAAGGGAGAGAGGCAAGAGTTGAAAAACTAGCTGTTGGGTCCTATTCTCAGTACCTGGTTGATGGGATCATTTGAACCCCAAACTTCAGCATCAGGAAATACACTCAGTTAACAAACTTGTACATATATCCCCTGAATCTAAAATAAAGGTTAAAAAAACAAACAAACCCTATTTCTTTGTCTTTGGCTCTTACCTCTCCTCTTCCTCCACTCCCCCTCTATTTTCACCCTAGATGTGTTAAGAACCATGTTAACTGGAGGCGTAAGGTAGGAAATAGAGACAAAGTCTATCATCCTCATTTTCCCATTGAAGAGCCTTCCTTGTAGTAAAGTAGAGCTGTAGGATGAGGGCAGGGGTTAAAAGTTTCAACCTTAAATTACATTTAGTACTTTGATTATTATATAATATTGGATACATTACTTACTAAATTGAGACTTATTCACAACTAAAGTGACTGGAGAACTTTTTAGTATCTGAGAATAACCAAAAAATGTTGAGGCTTACTTGAGTTTTTTTTCTGGGGAGATGGGAGGAACTAGCCCTACAGATTGGCTTATAGGGATGGGCACAGGAAAAATAATGAGGCTGTTTCTGGATTTTATTAGTCTTGCTCATTTAAGCCAAGGATACATATATATTAAACACAATAATAGGTTTAAGGCTACAGGATATTACTTCATTTTCCAGACACTAAAACTTTTCTAGTTTTTAAAAAAGTTTAATTGGGAGTGGACCTCCACCTTCCCTCCCTTACCACTTCCAAATTCTCACCATTGATCAGATAACTGAAGTTAGATTTCTAGTAATTATGGCAGAATGAGGGCTTGCATTATGATCTAATTTAATTAAAAAAACCTAATTTTTGCAAACCTCAATTTATAGATTACTATTCATATCTGATTTATAGGAATAAATGTTTTCTTATGCAGTACTAATGTTAAAAATATGTGAAGTTACTCATTATGGCACGCTTTCAATGGGTCTCTCATTTAGGTAAATCTTACAAGCAAATATACTGACTGCCTTTTTTTCCCTGGACTATCTTTTTAAAGATATTTGTAAAGTAAACAGCCTTGGAAGACAGAAATAGTGTCTCCCCCCAGGGCAAAGGTCAGGTTTGTCTATTGTCCACCATAATAAAAATTATGACTTTCTAGGGCAAAAGTCAGACAGGTTTATTGCCTATTATGTGAGATTTGGGTTCTCTAAAGTTGGAGTTCCTCTTAGGTAATATATCTGATATTCTGGCTATTGCTATTGCTGTCCTTTATATTTAACCTCATGCCTTCTTCCAGCATCCATGAATTGTAGCTGGCCAACTTTTAGCTTGCAAGTAGGATAAATCACAATATTTGGCAATACTAAAATAATCTCAAACTTATTAGGATAGCTAGTATCAAAGCAACAGGAAATAATGTGTTGGCAAGGTTGTGAGAAAGTTGGAATCCCTGTGCACTGATGGTGGGAATGTATAGTGGTATAGCTGCTATGGAAAACAGTATAATGATTCTTCAAAAAATTGAAGATAGAATTACCATATGATCCAGCAATTCTGCTTCTGGGTATATACCTAAAACAACTGAAAACAGGGTCTTGAAGAGATGTTTGTACACCCATGTTCACTGCAGCTTTTATTCACAATGGCCACAAGGTGGAAGCAATTTAAGTGTTCATCAATGAATGAATGAATACACCAAATGTGATATATACATACAATGGAATATTACTCAGTCTTAAAAAGGAAGAAAATTCTGACACATGCGATAACATCAATGAACCTTGAGGATATTATGCTAAGTGAAATAAGCCAGTAACAATAAGAAAAATACTGTTTGGTTCCACTTAAGTGAGGTACCTGGAATAGTCAAGTTTATAGAGACATAAAACAGAATAGTAGTTGCTAAGGATTCGGGGCAGGAGGAATACGGAATTGCTGTTTGATGGATATAGAGATGCAGATTTGCAATATGAAAATGTTTTGGAGACCTGTGTCACAACAATGTGAATGTGCTTGACACTACTGAGTTCTGTACTTAAAAATAATTAAGATGATAAATTTTACATTATGTGTATTTTATCACAATTAAAAATATTAAAATAACACATCCAGATTCTAATTTCAGCCTTGTTATATGGATGTCGTAGATATAATACAATTTTTAAAAGGACTTATGCTTTTTTTTTTCCTGTGGGTCCTTGAGACCCTCAGAATATGCTTAAGAAATTAAAATAGGGTGTGTGTGGTGACTGAATTAGTTACTCATTCAACTTAACTGTAACTATCCAACTTTATTTCTCATTGTTCTCCAGTATTAGATTTCCATTTCAGTAAAGCCCCTCCTGGATTTTCTAAACATTCCAGGATTATTCTTCCTGCAGATTGTTGCCTTCTCCACTCCTTCACCTAACCGAATCATGATCATCCAGGAAAACTCATTCAAATCTTCCATTCTTCATTGAGACTTCAAGACTCATAAGAATGTTTCCCTTTAAAAAATCCCAGCAGCACTTGTGTTGCAGCCTTGATATACTTTATAATCATGATCCAGGATTACCCCATTCTGAAATATTTATCATGATCTGAAACCCAGGACTTAAATGATAAGTCAAAAGGCAAACTCCATTCATGTTCTTTTGTTGTTAAAATATGTCTGGCTCCATTGTTCTTAATAGTTGTGGTGGAAAAATCTATAGGGTCATGATGTTTTCCTGTAATCTTAAACCAAATTAAAAGAGGCTGACATTGATTGAGGGTATTCAAATTGGGATAAAAGAGCATTTTAAATATTATCCAAATGAAAACTGATAAAAGCAGTGAACCCAGTGATTTCATCAAAGACAAGAAAAAACTTGGTAGAAGGATGCTTTTGCATTTGATTTGGTGATTAATCTTCTAGAAATAATTCATGCTGTACAGCATAGAGGATGCTGAATAATCTGCATGCCATTTTAATGAGAAAGAGGCAAATGGCAAAAACCTTCCTAAGCTGTCTTTATCCTAAGAATCCTATCCTATTTACCAGGAGCCCTTACTGTCTCTATATTTCCCAGTACCTTCACATACATTATCTTCACAAACTTGTTCTTTGCCACAACCCTGTGAGACTGACATTTTCCCTATTTTTTTAATAGTTAAGAAATTTGATATTTGGATTATTTAAATGATTTGCTTGTGACTCTTGGTTCTATCACCTGATTTGCTTATTACTGTCTTATGGCTTTCCTCTTCCTTGTCCTGAATGCCTCCTCACTTCCTCACAATTCATAGATAATTCATTGTCTATTTTCAATTTTCATTTAAATCTAAATTAAGGTTTCAACTTAAATCTACCTTCTCCTTGAAGACCTCTATTATTGATGAAGTTCACATAGTTTTTTTTACTTTCAAATTTCAAGTTGATGCTGCATAATTCAATCTCAAATTCCATTGATTATTTTCCAGATCTTTCATCAGATTATTTCATATCTCATAAAGTAAAATGTAAATTCTTTAAGAGAAAGGGTTATGGCTTACAAAGCTTTTTTGTTCTATCAATTAGTGTAGTGGGTGTCTCATATTAGAAGTTTAATAAATATTTCTTAATGTAGCCTTTCTTAACCAGTTTTTGAGAACATTCCACATTCTCTGTATTATTATTTCTCTATATCATTATGGAGAAAATAATTCAACTGCCTATTTTCATAATTCTCACAACAAGGGTACAAAGCTAGAGAAGTGAACTCATCACGTGCAATGGATTCATAAGAGCATTAGGGCTTAATTCTCCCAGGTTGAGAAGAACAATTTAATGAGCTGACCATCATCAACACCAAGATGAAAGGTTAGATAATAAATGACCTTTGGTCATAATAATATGCAACTTTCTATCTGCATATAATGTTATGAAGGCATAGTGCAAAGTAATTTAAGAAGAAACAGTTAAAAGAATTTATAATGTTAAATGTATGGATGAAGTATGAGAAAATATGTAGGGGATAGGTTTGCTTGCAGGTTTTTTTTTAAATTTTAAGTTCTGGGGTACATGTGCAAGATGTGCAGGTTTGTTACATAGGTAAATGTTTGCTTGCAGGGTTTTTTTTAAGACTTAAATTCAAGAAAGGTAACTAGAATAATTATATAATTATTTTAATCTAAATAATTAGATATTCGAGGAGTACAAAAAATTGCCAAAAATTTTAACCTTTAATATGGCAAACTTTTTACTAAAGCTAATAAAGCATAATGATACACATTTGCATTTTTTGCCACTTTGGAGGTAAGAATGTGCAATGTGTTGGCTAAAGTGGAGTAAGGATAGCACAGACCAGCTAATCAGTCTCCAGTCACCTGAAATTTGGCACAGAGAAAAAGACACACAAACAATTGTAAACATGGAAGAACAATTCCACACTGAGAACACACATTTACATAAAGTCTCTTCTCCAGAGGCTTTCTAATTCACAGTGAAATGCCTGTTTTAGTGGGCGTCAAACTCTTTTCCAGCACAGGTCCAGGCTGAGAGAGAAGTTCGTTATGTCTGCATGCCCTCAGGAACAGGCAGAGGCAAACCACACAATTGAGGTTTTTATAAGTTGCCACAAGGATATGGTTTAGCTTCACCTCTATCAAGGAGGGCCCATGGCGTGTGCCTCCCAGTGTGCGAGATAAGAGAGGGTAGGTGTAATTGTTACTAGAAGAGTCATTTTAATCTTCTTGTGATAAGGTAGGGGGAGAAAAGATACTATTCCAAAGTGTTGTCTAGGAAAGAAAAGAACATAGATAAGACAGCAACTTTTAAGTCAGAGAAGTTAGTAAATGTGGGCACTACTTAGTGATGGATGACTAATTATTATTAATATATGATATTAATCTGATTTTAGAGAAAATAATGGTAATAAAAGGAACTGAGAGTAAGAGGAGGCCTAAGTTACTAGAGGAATGAAAATAAGTAAAAACTGGGCAAGACAAAGGTGGGAAAGAGAAAAGAAGAAATCAGAAGAAAAAATTAATGGCTTTACAGTTAAAGGGAGTTTACTTGGGAATACTGGCATAGATAGGCTATTAAGTGAAAAAGGCAGAAAGATTCTGTTGGAAAAAATCTCTAGGTACCTCTGTGAGGCAAGAAAACAATGAAATCAAGGATAAACACTGGAGCATTGAATTGATGAGGTACACCAGAGGGTTATAGTCAAGTCTGAGAGATGGTTGCTGGTAAAATACGGGGTATTATCAAGGTAGCATGAAGTCCTCTGTAGACTGTACGTGGTCAGAGTTCTGGTCATGGATTTTGGCTGTTAATCTTATGAGGATTATAAAATGTGAAAGGAAGGGATGGCTTTTAGCATAGCAAGCTGGTTCAGAGCAAAAGAAATGACAAAATTATAGGTGACAGTGGAGAGGCAGGCAAGAAGGCAGTCACAGAATCCAACTTTAGTCACAGTCGGATTCTAAAATGAGCTACCGAAGATTAACTCAAGGACACTTGTACCTGGGTGAGCAACTACAGAGAAAATTCTTTCTAGGCTCAAAGAGTCAAGGAGAAGTAAAAAATTAAAATGAAACAGTGCCAAATGTTTTCTGAATGCTCATGAGTCTTCTTGTCTTGGAAATGGTGGTTGGGAGCACTTAGACACAAAAATTACATTAAACAAAAATGTTTAAGTTAGCAGCATGCTGTCAAAATATTCCATCACCTTTCACTTGGAAACATACATGCTTTAAGATCATGCTGGGCAGCACTGTTGAGATCTCTGTACAATGATAGTTAGTTCACAGTCCAGCCAGCTGTACAGAATTATAAATATATATTTCAAAATTTTGAACAAAATAATGTGTTACTTCCATATAGTTCATCAGATCTGATTTCTCTTGTAAATATAAGTAGGGATCATTTGCAAAATAACAGAGTAGAATTTCCTGTGCAGACAGATGCTTTTTATATTTATAAAGCTTGAGCTCCTTTTTTATTTTTCTTTTTAATGTTCTGGGAAACTGGAAACTGATATGATTTTTCATATCAAGTTTAGTTTAACATATGGCAGTGAGCTCTCTGAGACTGTCTCCAAACTTTGCAGTTAACAGTTTCCAGCCTACACAGGAAACGAAGCTGTGCTTCTGACGCATTCCCATTATATGGGAAGACCGCAGAGAACAGCCTAAAGTTAAACCACAAAAAATTATGTTTATACAAAGCGCAGCATTCAATTTAAACCACAGTTGCACAGAAATCTTCAGTTGATGCTTCAATTCCAGTTTTAAGTTGTTCTAGTGAAATGTTGCAAAGTGTATCAATAACCAGTCACTGCTTCATTTATTCTTCAGCTTTTAGTTAGGTAGATAAGCAAAAAGCAAGTTCTGACTCTGGATATTGCTTTCTCAGTTTAAGAATCAGCTTGTGTTTGTAGATCTTCTACTGGAATTCTATGTATTACAATAGCAAAGCAAGACAAACCAATGAACAAAACTTCATCAAGCCAGAACCCTTAAAGGAAAGAGTGGCAATACCCATTGTTCAAAAAATTTTTATATATTACATTCCCCCTAATACATATACATACTGTATACAGAGTGTGTACATACAGAGTATATGGAAAATAAAGTACTGAATATGATGATTACCTCAGCATGACATAGAGTTGTATATTCTGTCATAAAATAGTTCCATACTGCTATATAGCTATGCTTTTTGAGTTCCTGGGCTGCTTTTTAATAGGGTTGAGTTTTGTTTTTGTTTTTTTGTTTTGGTGGTTTACTCTTTTGTCAGCTTTCATTCCCCATTGCTATTGCTCTAGCATTCCTTCTCTTCTTTCTGTCATGTTCTAATGTTTGTGTATACTACATCCCTTAGGATAAGAAACCAGACTAAGAAGTGTGACCAAATTCTGTTTAAAAATGAGGCTATCTAAGGCTATGAGCATGGGCCAGGGGTAGTCTATCAACAAAGCACAATGACAGTGGAAAGAATGTGGGCTTGTTTCTTAGTTGTTTTCCTTTGGTCCAATTATGCAACTTCTTTGAACCTCAGTTTCTTCATCTATTAGAATTTTCAGTTTCCTCATCTAACAGAATTGCTGCTAGGGTAAAATAAGATGTGTATATATCTTATTTTATCATATATATATATACACACACACACACACACACATATATATGCCTCATAGAGTTGTTGTGAGGATTAAATAAGGTCATTTATGAAAGCATGTAGCACATTGCCTGGCACAAAGTAGATTCCTTTTGTCTTCTCTCCCTTCTCAAGGGGACTTTCTTATTTATTTCCTTGTTCTTGTCTGCAATCCATACAGTTGTTATGGCGAGAAGTACAATTGCTGATAGTTTACATATTATTAGTGTTTTACCTCTCACACTATGGACTTTTAGAAAGAGTTAATGTTTTGAAATGTGAAGAAAAAGATTCCTTATATACTCAAAAAGTATCATTTTAATGAACCTCTTAATATATTATCTTAAAATGAGTCATATAATGTTAGTATGATTCATATAAATGTTAATACATAATTAGATAGGAATAATCATTCTTTGCTAAGAACTCATCTTAGCACTTTTAATCAGTGCTTTATCCTTCTTGTTAGAAAAAGTGACATAAAATCATTAAAGAAAAATTAAAAAATATGGAAGAGCAGAAAGAAAAATATGCCCAATCCTCAACATTCAAAGATCCATATCTTTTTGTTATTTTAATGACATTTTGTTTTAAAACTTTGCCATTTATGTATAATTTTGTATTCTTTTTATACATATCTCTCATACCTCATGTTATCACCAAATTATTCATAAGCATAAATTTTTAAGTCTGTACAATCATCTATAAAGTGAATATGATTTATTTACACATTTTCCCTTCAGTTGGACATTCAGGTTGTTTCTATTTTCTGTCGCCATTACAATTTACACTTTTTCTCTATTTAGCACTCTTTCCTTAGGAGACATCCCTAGAAGTGGAATCATAACATTAAAGGATACCAAGATGTTTAAGGCTGTTGCCAAGTTGGAAAACAGCAATCTCAGAATCCCAATTTTACTACAAAAGACACCTGGCCAAGCCTCCCTGGTGTTTGTCCTATTTACACCAAATGAATGCCTCAGCCCTTTATTTTACTATGGTTAGAGAATATCACCTTGACCATGTTCACTTTACTGATGCCAACTGCAATGAACATTGAGATGGCCCGATAATACTTTTTGAAACCTTGATTTATAATGTCTACTAAATAACCAATTTCTCATAAGAGAGACCTCTATTATTATTGTAGTGTTATTGACATTTTTACAGAAGGGGACATGGAAGCACAGAGTAGAATCAGCAAGACAACTGAGGTGTGTATGTTCCTCCTTTGTCATCCCAGGACACCTACGTTGCTTACTGGCTCATATCTGGCTGTGAGCTCCTGACACGCTACATTTACCAACAAGCCCTACTTAACCCTAGGTTTGCTAGTTTGCAAGAAAAGATGTGGCAAACCCACTCCTTTTGGAAAACAGAGAGGGCCCAATTATTCAATTATCTGTGTTATAATACCTCCCTGGAAAGCGGTATTGTATGACCTTCAGAAGGACGGACAATTCCGCTGACATCCAAGACCAAAACATCAGGGGCAAATACACTCATATGCAAATAAAGCTTCTGTGAGGGCCTCCACCCAAGATAGGAAATTACTAACATCTGCAACAGGTCACCCCACACTCTAGGGCCACAGGGAAGTGAGGTCGCTCAGAACACCAAGCAGCATTAGCCTAAGCAACCAGACAAAAAAACCCCAGTGGATTAAACTCTGCAAAGTAAAATCTTAAGAACCTACTGAGTTATGATAGGAAATGCCTCAGCAATCTAAATCTCAGATATGATACAATATCATATGCCCTGGAGGTAAGATTGAAGCTGAGCATTAAGCATCCTAAGGGGGATATCAATTTAGTGAAACTCCCAATTTGAGTGTAACTGGGACCTTTTTAAAAAAATTTCCTTGCCAGGATTGCCTCTCCTGGCCCAAATTTGTAGGCCTTTTTGGGGGTAGTGAGAAATGATTTGGCTTTGACTGAGTTCTTTTAGGGCTGAAGTTTCTACTACAAAGAAAGAAATGAGTAGGCAGGGACTTGAGGTCAAAATAGGAATTCTCTAAGAAGTGTACACAAAGGTTTAAGTAGAAGATATTTGAAACATCAATTAAAAGTAGGAAATTGTAAACAACTTGCTGTTTCTAAAACACCCCAAGCACACTCATGGGGGTTTTGTACTTGCTGTTTCCTTTGCCTGGAGATGAAATCAGAGAGGTAAGCTTTGGGAATCACACAGGATCTTGCAGGCCTTGGTAAGCAGCCTGCCTTCTACTCCGAAGAGAGAAGATTGGAGGGTTGTGAGCAGAAAAATAATGCTATCTGACTTATATTTTACTTTCTCTTCATTTAATTGAGAAAAATATCCTAAATCTATAGAAAAGGCAAATAATTAGTAGAGTGAACATCTGTGTAACCTTTACCTATTCTCTGATTACTTACAGTTCACCACACTTATTTTTTCTTTGTTTCTTTTTTTGAGATGGGGTCTCACTCTGTCGCCCAGGCTGGAGTGCAGTGGTGCGATCTCGGCTCACTGCAATCTCCACCACCCGGATTCAAGCGATTCTTCTGCCTCAGCCTCCCAAGTAGCTGGGACTGCAGGTGTGCACCACCAAACCTGGCTAATTTTTTGTATTTTTAGTAGAGATGGGGTTTCACCATATTGGCCAGGCTGGTCTCGAACTCCTGACCTCGTGATCTGCCGACCTCTGTCTCCCAAAGTGCTGGGTCTGCCTCCCAAAGTGCTGGGATTACAGGCGTGAGCCATGGTGCCCGGTCTCTCTCTTTATTTTTTATTTTGCTGAATCATTTGAAAACAAGTTGCAGATATCAAGACACTGCCATTAAATCTTTTGGCATGTATCATGTAAGAATAAGTACATTTTTTATATAACTGAATCTCATCATCACACCTAAGAAAACTGGTTATTAATTCAGTATCATCTATTATACAGTCCAGATTTAAATTTCCCCAACTGCCTCATTGTTGTCTGTGGTAAATTCTATTTTCCAAAAATGACTACCACAATTTCTCTTTCTTCCAGAATGTTGTCAGTCTCCTATAAAGAGAGATAATTTATTTATTCTGTGTTTGAATGTGGGCAGGCTTTTGTGACAGCAAAAGTGATGCTGTGACTTCTGAATCCAAGGCAATTCTGCTTCTGCCTTACTTGCTGCAACACTTGATGGAGCCTTAAAGCTGTCTGATTGTTCTGGGAAGAGACCCAGATAAGCCCCCCGGTAAAGATCACATGGAAAAGCCCTGGGACTACATGAAGAGATGCCCACCAGCTCACAGATGCTCTAGTCACTGCCACCTGGTTTTCCAGCTCTAGTTACCATCTGACTGCAACCTCATGAGAAACCTGGAGCCAGGATCACCCAGTTCAGCTCTCTTTTTTTTTTTTTTTTGAGATGGAGTCTTGCTCTGTCACCCAGGCTGGAGTGCAGTGGCCTGATCTTGGCTGACTGCAACCTCCGCCTCCTGGGTTCAAGCGATTCTTGTGCCTCAGCCTCCTGAGTAGCTGGGATTACAGGCACCAGCCACCATGCCAGGCTAATTCTTTTATTTTTAGTAAAGACGGGGTTTTGCCATGTTGGCCAGGCTAGTTTCAAACTCCTGACCTCAGGTGATCCGCCTGCCTCAGCCTCACAAAGTGCTAGGATTACAGGCGTGAGCCACTGTGCCCGGCCCACTTCAGGTTTTTCTGATTTCTGACCTACAGAAATCATGAGAGATTGTAAAATGATTAATGTTTTTTTAAGCCTCTTTATTTTGGGGCTAAAAAATAACTTAAAAGTGACTTTTATAGATGTATATTTTTAAAAATTCCAGATCCAATGAAAGCTTAGGCTTATAAATTACATTACATTATTATGCCTTTTAGTTTCTTTTAAGCTAGAATAATCCTCTTTCTTCCTATTTTTAAAAAACACTATATTGTCCTTTTTAGAAAAGTCCAGACTATTTGTTTTATAGAATATATCAGTGTTTGCATTTGTCTGATTATTTCTTCATTAGATTAAGAATACAAAAAGATATTTTAAAAGTTCTTTCTTTTTTTCTTTTTAAAAATTGTGGTAAAAAAATACAACAATATAACATGAAATTTACCCTCTTAAAAATTTAAATATACAGTACAGTATTGTTAATTATAGGTGTGTGTGTTGTACACTGGATCTCTAGAGGGTATTCATCTTGCATAATTGAAAATTTATATCCATTGAACCCTCCCCAAGCTCCTGGCAATCATAAATCTACTATCTGCTTTTATGAGTTCGACTGTTTCAGATATCTCATGTTAAGTGGAATCAAGCAGTATTTGTTCTTCTGTGACTGACTTATTTCACTTAGCATAATGTCCTCAATGTTGATCCATGTTGTCACACATAGCAGGATTTCCCTGTTCTTTTCAAGGCTGAATAACGTTTTATTGTATGAATATACTACGTTTTTTACCCGTTTGCCGATTGATGGACATTTAGGTTGTTTCCTCATCTTGGCTGTGTGAATAATACTGCAGTGAATATGAGAGTGCATGTATCTCTTCAAGATCCCAATTTCAGTTTTTTTGGATGTATACCCGGAAGTCAAATTGTTGAATCATATGGTAGTTCTATTTTTAATTTTTTGAGGAACCTCCATAGTTTTCCATAGCAGCCGTACCATTTTACATTCTTACCAACTGTGTACAAGAGTTCTAATTTCTCCACATTCTCACTAGCACTTGTGTGTATATATATGAGATTAGTGACTTTTGTATGTATGTAAATTTCTCTACATTCTCACTAGCACTTACTTATATTTATATATATGAATTTATATAAAAATTGATGATTAGTGACTTTTTTAAACATCTATATTCATCAGGAGCATTGACCTATAATTTCTTTTCATATGCCTGTTGGTCATGTCGTCTTTGGAGAAAGGACTATTCAAGTTCTTTGTTTACTTTCTAATTGGATTATTTGTTTTTGTTTTTTGCTATTGAGTTGTAGCAGTTCCTTTTATATTTTGAATATTAACTCCTTATTAGACATACAATATGAGGGTATTTTCTCCCATTCCATAGGTTGCATTTTCCCTCAGTTGGTTATTTTATTTTTTTTAATGTGCAGAAGCTTTTTAATTTGATGTAATTCCACCACTTGTCTATTTTTGCTTTTGTGGCATGTGCTTTTGGTGTCATATTCAAGAATCATTGCCAAGACTAATGTAATGAAGTTTTTCCTTTATGTTTTTATTGGAATATTTTACAGTGTCAGGTCTTACTTTTAAGTCTTTAATCCATTTTAAATAGATTTTTGTGTATGGTGTATGATAAGGGTCCATTTTAATTTTTTATATGTGAATATTCAGTTTTCTCAACCCCATTTGTGGAAGAGACCATCTTTTCCTCATTGGGTATTCTTGATGCCCTTGTCAAAGGTCAGTTGACAACATATGCATAGATTTATTTCTGGGCTCTGTATTCTGTTCCATTGGTCTATGTGTCTATCTTTGTAACATCACCATACTGCTTTAATTACTATATCTTTGTAATATATTTTCAAATCAGGAAGTAGGATGCTTCCAGCTTTGTTCTCCTGTCTCAAAATTGTTTTGGATTTTTGGGGCCCTTTGTGGTTCCATGTGAATTTTAGGATTGTTTTTTCTATTTCGGTAAAAAATGCCACTGGGATTTTGATGAGGTTTGCATTTAATCTGTAGATTACTTTGAGTAGTATGGACATTTTAATAATATTAACCTTCCAATCTATGACCATGGAGTATCTTTCCATTTATTTGTATCTTCTTTAATTTCTTTTGGGAATATTTTGCAGTTTTCAGTGTACAAGTTGCTTACTGACTTGGGACAGTTTATTTCTATGTATTTTATTCTTTTTTATGCTATTATAAATGGGATTGTTTTCTTAATTTTCTTTTTGGATAGTTTGTGGTTAGTGAAACATAACTCATTTTTGTATGTTGATTTTGTATCCTGGAACTGTTAATTCTAACAGTTGTTTTTGTGTGTGTGCATGCATGTGTGCCTGCGTGTGTATGTTTCTGTGTGAAATCTTTAGGGTTTTCTAAATATAAGATCATGTCATTTCCAAACAGAGATAATTTTACTCTTTTATTTACAATTTGGATGTCTTTTTTTTTTTCTTGCCTAACTGCTATGGCTAGTACTTCCAGTACAATGTTGAATAGAAATGATCACAGTGGGAGTCCTTGCCTTGTTCCTCACGCAAGTTTTCAGGTTTTTACCATGAAGAATGAGGTTACTTGTGGGGTTTTTCATATATGGCTTTTATTACGTTGAGGTAATTTCCTTTTATTCCTACTTTGTTGCAAGTTTTTATCATGAAATCATATTGCATTTTGTCAAACAATTTTTCTGTATCTATTGGGATGATCATAACATTTTTATCCTTAATTATGTTATTTTGGTATATTACATTAACTGATTTTTGTATGTGGAAACATCCTTGCATCCCAAGAATCAATGCCACTTAGTCATGGTGTATAACCTTTTAATGTGCTGTTGAATTTAGTTTGCACTATTTTTTTGAGGATTTTTGTATCTATGTTCATCAAGAATATTGTCCTATAGTTTCTCTTCTCATAGTATATTTGTCTGGCTTTGGTATCAGGCTATTGCTGACCTCATAGACTGAGTTTGGAAGAGTTCCCTTCTATTCCGTTTTTTTGGAGAGTTTGATAAGGATTGGCATTAGTTCTTTAAATGTTTGATATAAGTCACCAGTAAAGACATCTGTTCCTGGAAGTTTCTTTGTTGGAAGGCTTTTGGTTAGTGACTCAGTCTCCTTACTAGTTACAAGCCTGCTCAGATTTTCTATTTCTTCAAGATGAAGTCTTGGGGGTTGTATGTGTTTAGAAATATATCCATTTTTTCTAGGTTATTCCAATTTATCAGTGTATAATTGTACATTATAGACTATTATGATCATCTTTATTCCAGTGATCAGTTGTAATGTCTTCTCTTTCATTTCCAATTTTATTTATTTGAGTCTTCTTCCTTTTTTGTTAGTAACTAAAGGTTTGCCAATGATGTTAATCATTTCAAAAAACCAATTTCATTGATTTTTTCTCTTATTTTTATATTTTCTATTTCATTTATTTTTGCTCTAATCTTTATTGTTTCCTTTCTACTAATTTTGAGTTTAGTTTGCTCTTTTTTTTCTAGTTTCTTGAGTTTCCCTGAGGTAGAATTAAACTATTTATTTTAATTCTTTCTGTTTTTAAAAATGTAGACATTTATCACTATAAACTTCCCTCATAATACTGCTTTTGTTGCATTCCATAAGTTTTGGTAGGTGTTTTGTTTTTACTTATATCAAGGTATTTTTAAATTTCTCTTTTGATTTTTTTCTTGTACCCAAATTGTTATTGAAGAGTGTTTTATTTAATTTCCACATATTTGTTAATTTCCCATTTTTCCTTCTGCTATTGATTTTTAGTTTCATTCCCTGTGGTAGGAATTGATACTTGGTATGATATCAATGTTCTGAAAAGAGACTTATTTTGTGATCCAACATGTAATCTATCCTGGAATGTATTTTGTGTGAGTTTGAGAAGCATGTGCATTCTGCTGCTGTTGAGTAAAATGTTCTGTATCAGTTGGCCAGGTCAATTGGGTCTATAGTGTTGTTCAAGTATTGTTTTCTTATTGATTTTTGGTCTAAGTGTTCTATTGTTGAAAGTAGGATGCTATCTTCTACTATTATTGTGTTACTGTCTATTTCTCCCTTCAGTTATCTCAATGATTATTACACATATTTGGGTGCTTTGAATTTGCATGCGTTTATATTTATAATTGTTATATCTTCCTGGTTAATTGACTTTTTAATCACTAGATTATGTCCTTCTTTTTTTGTGTGACAGTTTTGGACTTAAAGTCCATTTTTTCTGATATGAATATGGCTACTTTTGCTCTCTCGGTTAACATTTGGATGGAATAAATTTTCCATGCTTTCACTTTCAGCCTGTGAGTGTCTTTAAATCTAAAGCTAGTGTTCTGTAGACAACAATAGCTGGATCTTGTTTTTGTTATCCATTCAGCTACTATATCCATTTTGATTGAGGAGTTTAATTTATTTACATGTAATGTAACTACTGATAGGGAAGCACTTACTATTACCATTTTGTTAATTGTTTTGTCTTGAGGCTTTTCTGTCCATCTTTTCTTCTCTTGCTGTCTTCCTTTGTGTTTTGTTGATTTTTGTATAGTGATAGGCTTTGATTTCTTTCTCATTTATTTGGTAGTTTTTAAAAAGTATTTTCTTTGTGGTACTGTGGGGCTTACATAAAACATCTTATAGTTGTAACAAATATAAAGTTGATATTTTAAGCTGATAACAACTTTAACTTCAATTGGATATAAAACTCTATTCTTTCACCTCCCTTGCCCTTTTTATTATTGTCATATAGTTATAGTGTTTTTTATACTTTTGCCTTTTAACTTGAGTATCAGAATTAAAGGTGATTTATACACAGCCACTAAAATATTACAGTATTATCTATTTTTCTGTATATTTACCTTTACCAGTGAGCTTTATGGTCTCATAATAATTTCTGCTGCTGCCTAGGGTGTTTTCATTTCAACTTGAAGGACTCCTTTTAGCATTTCTTGTAAAGGCGATATAGTGGTAATAAACTCCCTCAGTATTTGCTTATATAGGTCTTTATTTCTTCTAACTTTTAATTTTAGATTCAGGGTTACACGTGCAGCTTTCTTATATAGGTACTCTCATGTCACAGCGGTTAGATGTACAGATTATTTCATCACCCACGTACCCAAGACTGGTACCCAAGAGTTATTTTTTCTGTTCTTCTCCCTCCTCCCAGCCTCAACCCTGTGGTCAGCCCAAGTGTCTGTTGTTCCCCTCTTTGTGTCCATGTGTTCTCATCATTTAGTTCCCACTTATAAGTGAGAACATGTGGTATTTGGTTTTCTGTTCCTGTGGTAGCTTGCTAAGGATAATGGCCTCTAGCTCCATCCATGTTCTTGCAAAGGATGTGATTTTGTTCTTTCTATGGCTGCATTGTATTCCATGGTGTATATGTACCACATTTTCTTTATCCAGCCTACCACTGATGGGCATTTAGGCTGGTTCCATGTCTGCTATTGTAAATAGTGCTGCAACAAACATATGCATGTGTGTTTATGATAGAACAATTTATATTCCTTTGGGTATGTATCTAGTAATGGGATTGCTGGATCAAATGGTAGTTCTGTCTTTAGGTGTTTGAGGAATTGCCAAACTGCTTTCCACAATGGTTGAACTAATTTACATTACCACCAACAGTGTACAAGCATTCCCTTTTCTCTGCAACCTCACCAGCATCTGTTATTTTTTGACTTTTTAGTAATAGCCATTCTGACTGGTATG